>NC_000009.12:102159945-102311461 GCF_000001405.40 Homo sapiens | reverse complement strand
TCTCTTGTTACAGAGAGTCAAGGTGACATCTAATAGTTGAAGCCCAGTAAGCCAAAATTCGTAGGTAGAAGGGTATGATGAATAAAATCTACTTTAAGCTAGTTAAATTTGTAATAACTGAGATAAGAGAAATTATACGGCACTCTTCACTAAAGCCAGAGTACTTAAATTCTGACACATTGAGGAAACCCTTGTCAGCAAGAAACATTATAAACATTTGGGCTATTTTTTCTCCTAAAAGGGAGTAGGAGATAAAACTAGATATGATGCATTATCTTAATTAGACAAGCAACAGAGTATAATGGAAAGTACAAGGACTTTGGAGATAGAAAAGATCTGATGTCAAATCTCCACTGTGTGATTTCATACAAGTTATGTAATTTCTCTGAGCCTTCTCTTTAATGTCAATAATAACAATAAAATCAACTGTTAGTGTTAATGAGAGAATTAATAGTATTATGTATATGAAACTACTCTAGGAAATTCTACATGTATACCAGCTACTTAATTTGACTATGCATAACTTTGATGCAAAAACCAACTCTCATTGAATTACTTCTAGGTGTTAGTCATATTCTATAATATTTTACTGTTATTTATAAACTAAGTTATTTTATCATGAGAAAATCCACTCATTGATTAGAGCCAGAGAAAACTATGTATATTTTGTGTCTATTTACACTTGACTAAAAATAAAGACAGTGACATTTTATTAATCTCTTGGCAGCTATAAAATTCTAATCTATATTGAAGCTGATGAATGTGAAGACACCTCATCATCAGTTCTTAAGTCAATTATGAGAAAATTATGTGTACTTTAGAACTTTTGCTCAAAGCTTTGTTATAATACATACAAAAATAGAGTATATATGGAATATGAATGTACTAAAAAGAAGCCTGAAGCTCATAGTAAAGCATTGGAATAAAACTTTGAAAACATTCTATGTTAACTCATAGAAGGCCACATTATAGATTTAGGAGATACTACCATCAATCTTTAAAGGTTATGGTTATAAGAAAAAACAATAGAAAGTGAAGGAAAATATGGCTGAGTAGGTGCTTCCAGGAAGTACTGCTCCTGCTGAGAGGGACCAAGATTTCAACTAAACTAACTTAATTTGAACAAATCATTGGAGACAGTATTCCAAATGTGGATGGAGAAAAGATGCAGACGCTGAGGTTGAAGAGAGAGGAAGCTTAGAACTCCACGTGGTGTGCCTGAATACTAAGGATGGTTCCTGGCCCCAAATGGCTCCTGGGGAAAAGCTGAGTGAGGGGACTGGGGGACTGCTCATTCTTGCCATAGACTTTTGGGATCTTAGCTGCAGAGGACCCCATACATTCCACAGATGTTTGAGCTGACAGGGGAATCTCCCCAGAGATTAGATGGATACAGGGCTTTAGCAGGTATGTGGGATAACTCTGGCAAAGTCCAGACATAGGTGCCCATCCCCAGGGATCCCCATCTCCATCTGAGAGGCTCTGGTCCCAGCTAACCAGCAGACTGGGAGAGGCAGAGCCAGCTTACCTGAAGGGCTGGGACATGTTTGTCCTTCAGATCTCGCAGTGCACTTGGGACCCAATCCCAAGAATCTGGAAAAGGGAGTCCTGACCAAGTCCTGGTGCCACAGGACTGTGGCCCATGGCTTGGGAGTGTAGAACTGGTATCTGTGCCTGGCTCTCAAGCAGGGGAAGAACCCATACTCTCAGAAAACAAGGGGCGGGTCACACAGGTAAACAGAAGGGTAAGTTGCACAACCTGCATACCTTCCTCCACAGGGCTGTTACAGTAAAAGTGGGGCCTGTATCACTGCTGGACCTTTGCCCAAGGGAGCTCCATGTCCCAAAACACCTAACAACAGCAACAACAAATTGTTGGCACAGTGCCAGTGATGGGAAGTTTCTATCCCAAGGCCCAGGAGCAGACCTGGTGAGGGAGTCACTTCTCTTCTTCTCCCATCACAGAGCACAGCTATAAAAGCTAGGATACACAAAGGTGGCCTGGTGGCTAACAGCATATCTACCACCCATTGCTCTCAAGAGCCTTCTACTGGATCATAGCCCACACTACAACATCAAAACCACTACTAATTCTCCCTTCTGCAAAGCCAAGGGCAATAATTCAACAATAAAGACCCATATAGAGCCTTAGCCCTCTGAAAATATCCAGAAATAAAGCTAATGAACTAAATTCACACCACAGTTAAAGGAAAGCCAACCCTCACAGATGAGAAAGAAACAGCATAAGAACTCTGGCAATTAAAAAAGCCAGAGTTTTTTCTCACCTTAAAATGAATCCACTATGTCCTCAGAAATGGTTCTTAATCAATCTAAAATTACCAAAAGGACAGACATGCAACTCAAAATCTAGATAGCAAGAATGCTTATCAACATTGAGGAGAAAGTGGAATCCCAACCCAAGAAAGCCAAATATTTCAGTAAAACAATTCAAGATTTGAAAGTAGAAACAGCCATTTCAATAAAGACCAAAATTGAACTTCTTGAGTTGAAAAATTCACCACAGGAATTTCATAATACAATCAGAAGCATTAACAGAAAAATAGAGCAAGCTAAGTAAAGAATCTCAGAGCTCAAATTCTTTGAATCAACTCAGTCAGCAAAAATAAAGAAAAAATAATTTAAATGAACAAAATTTTCAATAATATGGGATTATGTAAACGGAACAAATCTATGATTCATTGGCATCCCTGAGAGAGAAGGAGAGAGAGTAAGCAACTTTTGAAATGTATTTAAGAATACAGTTCATGAAAAATTTCCTAATCTCACTAGAGAATTTGGCATGTAAATTCATGAAATATAGAGAACCCTGGCTAGATACTATGTAAGGTGACCATCCCAAGGCACACAGTCATCAGGTTCACTAAGGTCAATATAAGAGAAAAAACTTAAAGGCAGCTAGAAAGAAAGGTCAGGTCACATAAAGAGGGACCCCTATCAGGCTGACATTGGACCACTCAGCAGAAACATTATAATCCAGAAGAGATTGGGGACCTATTTTCAGCATCCTTAAAAAAAAAATCCAACCAAGAGTTTCATATTCTGCCAAACTAAGACTCTTAATTGAAGGAGAAAGAAAATCTTTCTCAGACAAGTAAATGCTGAGATAATTTATATCAACTAGACCAGATTTACAAGAGGCCCTTACAGGAATGCTAAACATGGAATCAAATGAATGGTACCTGCTACCACAAACACTCATTTAAGGACATAGCCCACAGACACTATAAAGCAACTACACAACCAAATCTACATAACAACCAGCTAACACCACCATGACAATGAAAATGTCACATATCAATACTTACCCTGAATGTAAATGCACTATAGGCCCCACTTAAAATACACAGAGTGGTAAACCGGATACAAAGAGAAGACCCAACCATCTGCTGTGTTTGAAAGACCCATCTCACATGGATCAATACCCAGAGGCTCAAAGTAAAGGGATGAAGAAAGATTAACCATGCAAATGGAAAACAAAAAAGAATATGAGTTGTTATATCATACAAAATGGACTTCAAAACTTTAACAATTGAGGACAATAAAGAGCATTGCATTTTGATAAAGGGTACAATCCAACAAGAAGACTTAACAATGCTAAAATACATGCACCCATCATTGGAACACTTGGAGTCATAAAACAAGTTCTTCTTGACCTACAAAAAGACTTAGTGACACAACAATGATGGGAGGCTTTAACAGCCCACTGACAGCATTACAGAGATCACTGAGACAGAAAACTAACACAGAAATTCTGGGCTTTAACTCACCACTTGAGCAGTTGAGTCAAATAGACAACTACAGAACACTTCACCCAAGAACCACAAAATACTCATTTTTCTCATTGGCACATGAAACATATGCCAAGATTGACCACACACCAGGTTATAAAGCAAGTCTCAATACATTCAAAAAAAATTAAAATCATACCAGGCACACTCTCAAATCACAGTGTAATAAAAATGGAAGAAAAAATATCAAAAAGATGACTCAAAACTACACAATTACAAAGAAATTAAACAACTTACTTCCGAATAAATCAAGTAAACAGTGAAAATCAGGCAGATATTTTAAAAATGCTTTGAAATTAGTGAAAATAGGGATACAACTTACCAAAAGCTCCAGGATACAGCTAAGCAATCTTAAGAGGAAAGTTCATAACACTAAATGCCTTCATCAAGAAATGTGAAAGATCTCAAATTAACAGTCTAACTTTGCACCAAAAGGAACTAGAAAAAAAGAACAATTCAACCCCAAAGCCAGAAGAAAATAAATAACTAAAATTAGAGAAAAACTGAATGAAATTGAGTCAAAATAATCCATACAAATAATCAATGAAACCAAGATATTGTTCTTTGAAAGAATAAATAAAAGCGATAGACCATTAGCTAGATTAAAATGAGAAGATCCACATAAGCACAGTCAGAAGCAACAAAGATGATATTACACCTGACCACATAGAAATACAAAAGATCCTCCAGACTACTATAGACACAAATTAGAATACCAAGAGTAAATAGATATATTTCTGGAAGCCCCCAATCTCCCAAGATTGAATAAAAAAGAGACTTGCACCATGAAAAGAACAATATCAACTTCTGAAATTGAATCAGTAATAAAGAACTTACCAACCGAAAAAAAGCCCTGGATCAAAGGGATTCACAACTAAATTCTACCTGATGTACAAAGAAAAGATGATAGTAATCCTATTGAAACTATTCAAAAAAAAAAAATAATAAGAAGGAAGATCTCCTCTCTAACTCATTTTATGAAGCCAGCATCAGTCTGATACCTAAATATGGCAGAGAAACAATGAAATTAAACAAAAAGAAAACAAACTTCAAGCTAATATCCTTGATGAAAATGCAGGCAAACATTCTCAACAAAATATTAGCCAACCAAATCCAGCAGCACATCAAAAAGATAACACACTACAATAAAATAGGCATTATTTGAGGGGTGCAAGGTTGATTCAGCATATGAAAATTAATAATTGCAATTTACCACATAAACAGAATTAAAAGCAAAAACCATATGATCATCTCAATAGACAGAGGAAAGACTTTCAATGAAATCTAATGTACCTTCATGATAAAATCCTCAACAAATTAGTCACTGAAAGATCATACTTCAAAATAATATTAACCAGCTATGGTAAACCCACAGCCAACATCATACCAAATGGGCAAAAGTTGGAACCTTTCCCCTTGAGAACTGGAACAAGACAAGAATTCTCACTCTCAGCAGTCCTATTCAACATAGTACTGGAAGTCCTAGCCAGAGCAATCAGGCAAGAGAAACAAATAAAAGACATCCAAGTAGGAAAATAAGAAGTCAAACTATCTCTCTTTGCTTACAATATGGCTTTATACCTAGAAAATCCTAAAGACTCTGCCAAAAAGCATATAGAACTAATAAAGACTTTTAGAAAGTTTTGGGATACAAAATCAATGCACAAAAATCAGGAGCATTTCTACACACCAACAACAACCAAGCTGAGAGTGAAATAAAGAACCCAAGTGCACTTACAGTAGCCACAATGAAAATGAAATACCTAGGAATACGGATAACAAAGGAAGTGACAGATCTTGATAAAGAGAACTAAAAACACTGCTGAAAGAAATCAAAGATTACACAAAGAAATGGAAAAAGATTCCATGCTCATGTGTTGGAAGAATCAATTTTCTAAAAATGTCCATACTACCGAAAAAAGTAGAATATTTTGTAAATAGTTGTTCAGAATTCAGAAACATATAGCTCCATTATACTCATATAATCTTCATTACAACCATCTTAGTAACCTGTAGTTACAAGAAAAACAAAAATGTTAAGTTGTAGGAATCATATTCTCCAAATTATTTTACATTAAAGACCACTGACAAAGGAATCACTAGAGATGTTATTCCACTATCACCAAATAGTATATTGTTACCATCTGTTAACCTACAACCTTGGGTAAGATGGGATAAGTTAACATCAGTGGCAACATACACATTCAATGTAAAATAGCTTTAACACAATAACAACTATTTTGGTTTATTGAAACAAGTTCACACATTGTCATTAAAAAGGCATTTTGAATTCACTGTATTTTTATTACCTTAGTTCTGTTGAACATGTGATGTGTCTGGTCTGCTACAAACATACAGACCTTTAGTTTTGATTTATATGGATTTAAATATACAGACGTATAACTGTAAAATAAACTTTACGTGTAACAGATTTATAGATAAAGTAATCATTTGTATATGGTTTTATACCTATTTTGAAAAGAAAAGAAAAATATTAGAATGAAACAGATAATTTTACAAGTGTTGCTATCTTATCAGCAAATCAGAAATTTCAAAGATTTTGAAAGCAGATCTATTTTCTCTGCTTTGTATTAAATTCATTTATCTAAAATGTTATTGCTCCTGGCTTAGAATCATCTTGTGCAAATGCTCTCTCTTTTTTCTTTTTTTGGTTTGTCTGTTTGCCTGTTGCTCACCATGGACATAATATATAATTTTCTTTTCATCTAATTTCAGAAAACATTCTTTGTATAATCCTCTCAGAGATTATGAAAGTGACTGATAAAATATAATGGTGTTCACAAAAATAAAAATAAAAATGTCCATACTACCTAAAGCAATCCATACATTCAATGCTATTCCTATCAAACTACTAATGCCATTCTTGACAGAACTAGAAACAATTATTCTAAAATTCATGGAACTACCAAAGAACCCAAATAGTTAAAGCAATCCTAAACAAAAAAGAACAAGGCAAGAGGCATCATACTACCTGATTTTGAAGTATACTTTAAAAATACAGTAACCAAAATAGCATGGTACTGGTACAAAAACAGATTTATAGTCCAATGGAAATAATATAAAACTGAGAAATCTGCACACCTACAATCATCTGATCTTCGACATGGTCAAGAAAAACAAGAAATAGTGAAAACACTCCCTATAAATGGTGCTGGAATAACTGGTTAGCCATAGGCAGAAGACTGAAGCTGGACCCATACTTTTTTACCATATGCAAAAATTAACTCAAAATGAATGAAACATTTGAATGTAAGACCTTAAACTATGAAAATTCTAGAAGACAATCTAGGAAATACTCTTCTTGACATGAACCTTAACAAAATAATTTTTGGCTAAGTCCCCAAAAGCAATTGCAACAAAAAAAGTAGACAAATTGAACATAATTAAACTAAAGACCTTCTGCATAGCAAAAGAAACTCAACAGATTAAACAGACAACCTACAGAATGGTTGCAAATTATGCATCAGACAAGGCTTAATATCAAGAATCTATGAGGAACTTAAAGCAACAAGGACAAAATAAATAATCCTATTAAAATGGGCAAATGACATGAACAGACACTTCTCAAAATAAGATATACAAACAACCAACAAACATGAAAAATGGTGAGCATTACCAATCATCAGAGAAATGCAATGAAAAGTACAATGAGATACTGATTTTGTTAGGCTTTGTGTCCCCATCCAAATCTCATCTTGAATTGTAATCCCCATAATCCCCATATGTCAAGGGAAAGACCAGGTGGAGATAATTGAATCATGGGGGTGTTTTCCCCCATGCTGTTCTCATGATAGTGAGTTTTCATGGAATCTGATGGTTTTCATAAGGGGCTCTTCCCCCTTTGCTTGGCTCTTCTTCCTGCTGTCTTGTGAAGAAGGTGCCTTACTTACTCTTTGCCCTCCTCCATAATTGTAATTTTCCTGAGGCCTCCACAGCCATGCTAAAATGTAAGCCAATTAGACCTTTTTTCTTTATAAATTACCCCATCTTGGCAATTTTTTATAGCAGTGTAAAATTGGACTAATACAAATACCATCTCCCACCAGTCAGAATAGCTATTATCAAAAGGGGGAAAAAAGATGCTGGCAAGGCTTTGGAGAACACAGAACAGTTATACACTGTTTGTTGGAATGTAATTTAGTCCAGTCACCATAGAAAGAAGTCTGGAGATACTATTGACCCAGAAATCCTGTTACTAGGTATGTACCTAAAGGAAAATCAGTCATTCTGCTAAAAAGACACATGCACTCATGTGTGCATTACTGTATTATTTACCATAGCAAAGACATAAAATCAACTTAGGTGCCCATCAATGGCAGATTGGACAAAGAAAATGCGGTACATATACACTATAGAATACTACAGACCCATAAAAAATGAATAAAATCATGTCCTTTGCGGTAACATGGATGCAGTTGGTGGACACAATCTTAAGGGAATTAATGCAGGAACAAGAAACCAAATACCACAGGTTCTCCCTTATAAGTAAAAGCTAAACATCGAGCACACATGGATATAAACATGGGAAAATAGACACTGTGGACTATTGCAAGATGGAGTGGGAATAGGGGAGCAGGTTGAAAAACTGCCTTTTGCATACTATCCTGATTATCCGGGTGATGGGATCTATACCCCCAACCTCAGCATCACACAATATTCCAATGTAACAAACCTGTACTTATACCCCTGTATTTGACATAAATGTTGAAATTAAAATATATGTCTATATATTTTTAAATAAACATTTTTATTTAGAATAAGTTTATTTGTTCGGAATAATCGTAAAGATAGTACAGCATTATGGTATACCCTTTACCTAGTTTCTTCTAATTTTGACATTTTACATAATCATGATATTTATGACAGCTAAGAAACCAGCATGGCTATATTTCTATTAGCTAAGCTCCAGATTTATTTGGATTTCACAAGCTTTCCACTAATGTTTTTGAAAAAAAAATCAGTTTAATTTTTTACTAAGCATTACTATGAAAGCTCAGAATACAAATTTTTTCACAGTACTAAAAACTGAGACTTTCAACAAACTATAACAGAATTTCAGTCAAAAATTCTCTCTAAAATTTTAAGTCAGGATCTATTAGGAAGCAAGAAGTAACATGAGTTTTGTTACAAGACAAAGAACAATTGAAACCTAAGCTCGGTGCTCTAAACAAACTAGAAAACTAAGTAATCACTTCTCAAATTCCCAGTACATTTTTGAAGTGGAAAAAAAAGTTATTTCATAGGTTCCGTTTCTTCATTAATCTCTCTCGTTTTATATGTATTCCGGTTCTGTAATTCACAATCATGCAACAGAATCAAATTTAAAATCTGTATCAGGAGAAATGAGCAAAATAATGCAAATAGGCAGTATGCAATATTATTTTAGGAGAATATTTTAACAAGTTATCTTCTGGGTTAATTTGTGAAAATCTCCCAATAGTAAATTTAAAGAAAAATATAACCTTCCAAAATTATATACTAGAAGAAGTAAAAGAAAGAAATTATTGAAACAAAAAGATAAAGTTACAAGGCTTAAGAGGTTTGGGAGGAAGACATAAATTTTCAAAGAAAATTTTGTATAAATTGTCCTCTTCATCCTAAAGAGATCCTTTCCAAGGCCGGGCATGGTGGCTCATGCCCGTAATCCCAGCACTTTGGGAGGCCAAGGTGGGAGATTTGCTTGAGCCCAGGAATTCAAGACCAGTCTGGGCAACAGAGTAACACCCTATCTCTAAAAAAATACAAAACAAAATTAGCCTGCTATGGTGGCATGCCTGTAGTCCCAGCTACTTGAGAGGCTGAGGTGGGAGGATCGTTAGAGCCCAGAAGATCAAGGCTGCAGCGAGCAGAGGTCAGACTACCGCACTCCATCCTGTGCAACAGAGCAAGACTTGGTCTAAATACATACATACATACATACATACTAAGATGCTTTTCAAAATCTTATGAAATAACATAAATGTTTTCTAAAAATTTCTAAATTTATAAAGGTTTTGCTGAGAAAAAGGTTCTAAGTTAGGGTTTCTTACAACATGAATTTTGCAAATGAAGCATTTTATTTTAATAAACATGAATATTTATTTAGTGATTTTCCCTGTTCACTGGATTTTCAATGGTGAATATTAAATAACTAAGCCAATAATTTACTATCTTGCTTAGTGAGACACTTTAAAATTCTTAGAAGGATTGTAAGTCTTGTTCTTTTTCTAATAATACTGAATGTTTTAAAATGAAAGGAGTACCAGCTCTCCTGTATTGATAATGGGCATGTTTCAGAAAGGGGAAAAAGTTAACAATTATTAAGTATAGATTGCATTCCCTTTGCATTATCAAATTTCTCATTTACTTTTTTTAGTGGACCATGAAATTAATGACAAGACAAAGTATATGAGAAGCTAAGAAACTGGCAAGATACAAAAGTTACTAACTGACTAATATGTAATTCAGATAAGCTTGTCTGATCCCAAAGACAGTCCTCATAAGCACCACAATTAACACCATTTCAGGTGTTTATGATTTTATGCATTTAGTTAAGTATTTTCTATTATTTTTTTCTGGAAATGTGTCCTAGAAATGCGTAAACACATTAGAAGGTATTCCAAGATGAGCAATGTAAATGTTGAAAGGACAGAACAGATCTCCTTAAGAGAAATGAAGGACTGTGTACTTACAGCTGACAATGAGGGAGGAACTGTAAAGCTATGAATAAATCTTTGCAATGGCAAGTAACATGAGAAATGAATTACTTAGTAGAGGATATTAACATTATAAATGGGAAAAGTTTCATGACTTTTGGAGAAAATCATTCAAAAGCACATGCTTTTAAATTATTTTGAAATTTTATTTCTGTTGTTTCTTATCAGTGAATAAGAGTGAATTTGTCCACAATAAAATGTTTGGAAAACATAGAAAATTATTAATGATAAAATAAAAAATATTGATATTTTGACTCTCCTGGAATAACTACCAGTATTGTGGTGATATATATCTTCCAACTTATTTATATGCATATATCCATATAAATTTATGCATATAGGATTATAGTTTTAATATTCAAGAATAGAGAAATTCTCTCCAAACTTTTTAAGAATTTCAAATCTATACAAAAATTATAAGAACACAAAAACCTATATATACCCAGATGCACCATTTCTCTCTCTCTCTCCACACACACACACACACACACACACACACAAATCTATTATCTATATTTACTCATATATATGTGCATTTATATGTGTGTGCATGTATGTATGACAGTTTACAGAAAATATGGCATTTCTTCTCTAAATACTTCAGATCATGTACATTATTTTTCTCTTAAAAAATCACACACACACAAACGCAAACACTGATGTAATTTAACATCAATGTAATATTGATAGCTAAATGACAGTCCATATTGAAATTATTCTGCTTGTTTCCATATTATCCTTTATTGCTTTTGGTTTGCTTGTTTTCATCCAGGATGCAATGATTCAGTAAACATTTTATTTAGTTGTCATGATCCTCCAGTCTTCTTTAATAAATTAAAGCAATGAAGAAAGAAACAAACAAAATGCAGTTCCCCAAAACTTTGTATTTTGTGCCATGAAATATTTTATGCATGCAACCCAGTAGTTGTGCAGAATTTCTGTCAGTTTGAGTTTGTTACATTGTTTCCTAATGATCAGGTTGAGTCAATTTTTTTTCTTTCCAGATACTATTAACACGTAGTGATATCGTTCCCTTCTCTATGCAACATACCAGATAACAATGAAGTCAAAATACAGGTCAAACTCTGTTACTTTTGTGTTATAAATTTGATCACTGTGTTAAGGTGGTACCTCCCAGATTTCTACATGGTAAAAAAAATATTTTTATTTTTGCAATTAACAACCATTCTTTGGGCCAATTCTATGAAACCGTGTAAATATTATACTTTTTAACAGTCTTTCTCCCAATGATTTTAACATTTATTGATGATCTTTGCCTGAATCAATTATTATTATGTTCATTTTTAAATGAACTATGTTATAGTTAGGAGAAATAAATTCTGGTGCGCCATTGCACAGTAGGATGATATAGTCAACAGTAATGCAATGTACATTTCAAAGTCACTAGAAGGGAAGATTTTTAATGTTCTTGCCACAAATAAATGATATTTGAAATGCAGATATGCCAATTACCCTGATTTGATTATTACAGTGTATATAGTACATCAAAACATCACAACGCCCCTCCCAAATATGTACAATTATTATGTCTCATGTTCTCACTTATTTGTGGAATCTAAAAATCAAAGGAATTAAACTCATGAGCATAGAGAGTAGAAGGATGGTAACCAGAGGCTGAGAAGGGTAGTGAGAGGCTGGTGAAGGAGTGTAATTGTATTGTCTGTTTCCAAAATGATAAATGCTTGAGGGGATGGATACCTCATTCTCCATGATGTGATTATTTCATATTGCATGTTTGTATCAAAACATCTCATGTACCTTATAAATATACACACCTACTATGTACCCACAACATTAAAAACTAAAAATTAAAAATTAAAAAAGGACCCCCCAAATTTTAAAAAATTACATTACACTTTTTTTAGAATGTTGATTTCAAAACATCTATCTCCCTCATGATTTAGTTGCAATTGTTTGGTAAAGTGCTTTTACCTTCCCCCCCCATTTAATTGCTATTTGTTCATTTGTTATATATAATTAAATTATGGTATTATTCATTTTTATGTTAAAGTTGTTTTGAATTTGTCAGTGGGAGCTCCCCAAACTCTTCTTTTGGCATGCTTGACATATGGTCAACATATATATTTTCACTGGGTTTAAGTATATTTTTATATCTGTTTTAATATTCATAAGAATAGCTACAATTATTAAAATATATTTTTGTTTTTCTCTACTTATTCTCAAACATTTATACCATGAACTCTCTATTCCTAACATTTTCATTTTCCTATTTCTCTCATTATTTAACATGTATATTTAAATATTTTCATTTTGTCCTGGCACATATACTATTTTTAGGACCCTTGCATATATAAGCTTGTATTTTCGTTTACTATCATACATCACATATATTTATTTAAGTTGAGAGTAAAATACATGACATGTTGTTTTTCTTCAAAATTGTCACAACAGAACTTTACGGTCTTCTAATGTTTGTTATTGCAAAGGAAATTCTGAAATTAAAATAATTTTTGTTCCTTAGAAGACTGTTTTCTTATATTTACTTGTTTTTCTTTTTAAAGTTCAGAATTTTTTTTTTTTGAAATAGGAAAAAGCAAGTCAGAATGTATTTATTTGAGGAATTGTTTTCTCTGAGTTTTTTAGAGGCTGTGACCTATTTCAGTCTTTTTTTTCCTCTTCCATTGTGTTCATGATTGTTTCTGTATTTTGAATTATATTTTCATTATCTATTTTTATGATTATGCTTATCATACCATACATTATTTTTTTCTGTATTATTCTATTCTTTAGACTGGTAGATTTATGTTTTATTATTTTCTTCTGTATTTTGGAAGCTTTTTTTTGAGACGGAGTTTCGCTCTTGTCGCCCAGGCTGGAGTGCAATGGCATAATATTGGTTCGCTGCAAACTCTGCCTCCCGAGTTCAATCGATTCTTCTGCTACAGAATACTTTAAGAAGTTATATTGAACTAATATTCTGCCATATGAATTATTAGCAGATTTTCTTGGTTTATTTTTATCCTTGTAAGTTATTGTTCAGATTTTACCTCCCGAAATGCAAGAAACTGCTGGTAGCCCCTGCTCTTTTATGCCCTTTTGTTTTTAACATTTTTGTAAGATGTTAGCATTCAAATTATTGTAAGATATTAGCATTTGATACTTCAGTGATTTGGTAGACAATTATGGAATTTTTTTTTAGTGTTTATTTTTTTCATCGACTTAAATAGTTGTTAATGAGGAGTGATTTATTTGGAATCTTTTATACAGATTCCATTTCCATTCAGAACTGTAGTGATCCATTTTGAATTTTTCTTTGAAAGATTATACTGAGACCTCCTTTTACCAAGTCACAGGGCTAAAGTGTTCACGAAGAGGTCAACTAAGCCATCTCTCAGCCCAAGCTCTTCAAAGTACCATTAATATTGACTCTTCTCATTCAGAGTAGCAGATTCGACTCTTATTCTTAAAATAATTCTTTCCAGGATCTTGTAACTGTTATAGGATAGACTGTCTCTCTGATTTATAATCTAATTAGAACCCTTTTCCTCTTGTGTCTAAGAAAAGGAAAACTGCTTCTCATCTATCGTGCAGGGCCATTTCATACACTCTAGTCTCTCAGTAAATCCCGAATCATTCTTTCTTCGTTTAGGTCAAAAGAGAACAGTTTCATTTACTTTATCTCATAGGGGCTGTTGCCCAAACTTTTCATCACATCTGATTGTTTTCGTCTGAAAGAACTCCATTTCATACTTCACTGTGATGACCCAAACAATGTGAAGAATTTTTCTAATAAGGTTAAGGGGGCTCTGTGTATCTTCTTAGAGAAGTACTTTCTAGTCTCCTCTTACCACTGTTGTATGTTGCACGAAGAATGAAGCAAATAACTAGAATGATTCTAGTTTCACAAAACCATAAGGTATATATATTGCTCTTGACTGTTTGAATATGTGTTTTAATTTCTTAAACATAAATTTGGAATCATTGCCTTTTTAGCACCCCCTGATTTTAAATGACTAGTAAAGTATCGTTTGTATTTTTCAGATTGTGTAAGTTACACAATTAAAACATACCGTACATTGGATTTGGGAATTTGATTAATATACATGAAACTCATAACAAGTAATAGTCTGCAAAAGTGTTTTAAACTTTGTTATTTGCTGGGGAGATCGATATGCTTACAAGCCAATGGAATTTGAATTATTTACATTTTAGATTATTTTGATTCCATATTTTTATTAATTATCTGGAGCAGATCATTTGAAATTTCCCATCACCCTAATTTCCTCTGAAAACAGTTGCTGCTACCAAACATAAGTCCTAAAGGTTCCAAACTCTAGATTACTAAACCACTTACATAATAAAGATTTGGGAATAGGCTTCTCCTGTCTTTCTTTACCAGAATCTGTTTTTAAATTTTCTGCTTCTCAGTAATAAAAAATAGACACCTCTCTTTATCCAAACATTTTACATTACATAAGGTTTTTTGCAGCAACTTCCATGTAGAGGTAGAGTCTACCAAACTTGACTGTATATTTACCATACCAGTTATTTTCTACCGTTGTATGTTTCCTTGTTACTAATCAGCATAATTTTGTGTCAGTTTGAAGAACTCCCTGAAGCATTTCTTGTAAGGAAGATCTACTGTTGATGAACTCCCTTAGCTTTTATCTGTCTGGAAAAGTGTTTCTCTCTCTTTAGTTTCTGAAGGGCAGCTTTGCCCAGCAAAGTATTATTGACTGGATTTTTTTCCTCCAGTACTTTGAATATATCATCCTACTCTTTTCTAACCTACAAGATTT
This sequence comes from Homo sapiens, assembly GCF_000001405.40. Lineage (NCBI taxonomy): Eukaryota > Metazoa > Chordata > Mammalia > Primates > Hominidae > Homo > Homo sapiens. The sequence continues at coordinate 102,296,155 of NC_000009.12, read as the reverse complement.
CAGCCTGTTGATAGCCATATGGAGGTTCTCTTGTACATGAAAAATTTCTTTTCTCTACTGTGCTTAAAAATTTTCTGTCTTTGATTTTTTGCCTCAAATCTGGATGGCTTTGTGGTTTTTCTTGGCTAAGGTAATCAGAAGTAATGATATGTGCCAGTTTAAAGCTAAGGCCTCAAGAATTATTGCACACTTTTGCTTACTCTGTGGAATCTTGGAACCACTATGTGAAAATGTTCAAGCTAACCTGAGGAGAAAAGATCTCATAAATCAGAGCCACAGCAGCTTAGCCCCTGATGATACTCCAACCAGCAAAGGCAACTCTTGCCTAGTCCACAGCTTACTATAATCCACAGGGGACCCAGTAGAGACCAGAAGAAACTTCTGACTAAAACACTTCCTTAAATAATCTTCCTTCTACTCCTTCAAATCCCTCCCAAATTACCTTCCCTAGACACCCTGCTGTATAGATTTCCCAGGACTTCATGCCTCCTCATCCTGATATGGAAACTATATTATTAATTAAAAAAATAATTATAACACTTGAGTGGCCTGACCAATTATTAAGTGTTAATGTGTTTATTCTCCCTACTTCTTTCTCTCCCCTCCTTTCAGTTAGATGACTATATCATGGGCATCTTTTTCTAAGGAGGTTTTACAGCAAGGTTTAAAAGCGTAATAGGAACTAGTCTTGAGAGTTACTGGATTGGTGCAAAAGTAATTGCAATTTATGTCATTACTTTTAATGGCAAAAACCGCAATTACTTTTGCACCAAGCTAATTTTTTTATCTAGTCTAATTCTCTGATATTCTGAGGTGAAGCAAAATCATCATTTCTAGCATTCAATACTACAATGATTATTTTATTGCAATTTTCTGATGGAAGTGGTGGTAATCAGTAATTTGAGATGGTTTGACATAAATAGATGTGTTCTAGTCGTCTTTCCTCATCTATAAAAACAAGCAAATAGATTTCTTGCAATTATTAAATGAAATAATATGCTGAAACATTTAGAATCTGTATTAGTCATGGTTCTCCAGAGAGACCGAACAATATAATAGATAAACAGATTGGACAGACAGATAGAGAGATGGTTGATTTGTTGGTTGGTAGGTAGGTAGGTAGGTAGGTAGGTAGGTAGGTAGGTAGGTAGGTAGGCAGGCAGATAGATAGATAGATAGATAGATAGATAGATAGATAGATAGATAAAGAGATAATTTAGTATGGGAATTGGCTCACATAATTATTGAGGCTGAGAAGTCTCACAACAGGCCTTCTGCAAGCTGAAGACCTAAAGATGCCAGTAATGTGACTCAGTCCAAGTCTGAAAGCATCAGAAACAGGGAAATCAATGGTGTCACTCTTAGTACAAGGCTGAAGGCATGAGAAACTTGGGGCACTGGTGTAAGTCAAAGAGTACAAAGGCCAGACAGCCTGAATTTCTCATATTCAAGATCAGGAGATGAGTGTCCTAGCTCCCGGGACAGAGGGAGAAAAGAAAATAATTCACTTTTCATCTGCCTTTTTGTTCTATCTAGGAACCCAGCCTGCATAGATGTTAGGTGATACCCATCCACATTAAGGGTGAATCTATCCCCTCAGTTCACTGTCTGACAGGCCAGTCTCCTCTGTGTGTTTCACAGCCACATTCAGAAATGATTATTTACCACTTCTTTAGGTATCCCTTAATCCAGTAAAGTTGACACCTAAAATTAACCATCATGATACTAACAGTCTAATTTAAGCTGATAATAATTTAACTACAAATGCTCATAAAAACTCTACCATTTTAAGGCCTCCTCCACCAATTTGTATCTCAAAGGTCAGCTCCCTTCACATAGTATTCTCCTGGTAAGAGATGGCACTTTAGCATTTCTATTTTAATAATAATATTTCCCATATTATTTATGAAGTTGATTTTATAAAACTATTGGTTTTCAGGAAGGCTAATCAATACAGTGATCGAGTATTGAGCAGAAGATAATAAAAATCATTCAAAACTGTTCATAATTACTATAAAATTATTCTTTTTACTATGGTTAAGCACCAGCCACTGAAAATACAGATGGAAACCACTGATATTTGTTGCCCAAATATTGGAATTGTAACAGTGAAGATTAAATAGAAGATATTATAGATAAAGTGACCTTATGGATGCTAAATTGAGTTCTAGATAACAGAGAAGATGCTCTGAAGGTGAAACTTTTTTAATAGCAGCTAATCTAACTTAAACCAAGTATAAGGCAATAAAACATTGAATTAATCAAGTCAAGGTCATGAATCTTTTATATAAGGCCATTTTTCGGCTAAAGTTAAAGCTCTAAAGTAATCTTTCTTTAAAGTTCTTAATAACAATATATTCTTTATTTCTCATAAATGCTATGAAGTCATTGCTTCACATTCTGACTTTATTACTTGCTTTATTGCAGAACTCTGAAAAATGGTGGTAAAAATTTTCATTGATTCTGTATGATTTTTAGATTTGCATAACTTTGTAAGTTGCATGAGAAATGAGCACATTTAAGTGCAATCAACTATATATATATAAAATCACTTATTTCCTATCAGAACATATATCAGTCTGGTTAGATTAACTTAATTTAGTTAACCATTACTTTTTTAAAAAAACAATGGTTATCAAATGTTTATTTTGAAATCAGCTTAATTGCTGGCTTTCTTTTTCTTAAGTGATACTACTCTCAAAATGAAATTATCATTACCTAGAAATGAAAAGTATGTTTTCTTTCATCCCAAGGTGACTTAGAAGATAAAATACAGATAATATTGTTAGACTTACAGCAGGCTGTGAACACTTTTATGGGCACTACTGTCTAAAATTACTCCTCCTTGCCTTGGCCCATAAAGCAAGTCTTATTTTGTATGGGTGAGTTTCTGGTTTGGTTTTTAACCTAACAAAACAGGTTACCATTATTTTTTACAGAAATCTATAAAGTTTCCTTTTTAAATCTATTTAAACATCTGTTAAAGTGCTCAGCTAGATGAAATGCTAACAACTCTGTGATCTTTTATATTCTTTAATGTAATGAAATAAAATAAATAAACAAAAATAAAAACAGAATAATGCTAAAGCTTCTGCTGAGATTGAACTGAAAGTCAATTATGAGTAGATTTCTTCAAAAATTCTTCATTGACCACATTGATTTCTATAATTTGGCTTTCAACATGACAATCAGATCTACTATTGTTATGCTCCACAGATAATGCCCAACAATTTGCCTTCCATCCACAACTCATTTTCTACCCATATAGATGGATAACTGCTCTCTCTCATCAAATTGTTTGCTTCATTCCCTAATAACTTTCCTTTATATTTCTATGGAGGTATATGTAGTCCAGTGAAGATACCTTCCTATAGGAAAAGTGTCTGGACAGGAGTAAATGCTTTAGATTATTGATCATTATATTATACTATTTTAATCCCTGATCCATATGTGATAAATGATCTCTATCATTTGATTCTTTTGGCTCATTTATACATCATTTTTTTCCTACAGCATAGTGTATTACCATTTAAAATACAATATAAAAGTATCACTCCCATAGGTACTAGCTAAACAGGAAGCGAATACATTTCCCTTTGTGCCGAAACTGTTTTGAATTTGTTTTCTGCCATTATAATAGAAAAAAGCTCTAAAAAGTATGAAAGTAGTCCATGCATTTAACAAACTCTACATTAGCAAAACTAATAATAAAGAAATGTACTAAAGAGTGAACATTTTTCCACCTTCAGGTTTGAGGATGTTAAGCTCCTGGACAAATTTTTGCCTGTTGTATTTTTGGCTACTACCCATTTGTCTATCTGAGACAGGTCTTCAGGGGACTTGGTAGAAAAAAGCTCGGATATTGGTAATATTTGCTTCTTATGCCTTTTTCAATAAGATACACTAGAAAAAGTGAAGCTTTTATTCAAGCTGCTCATGTAAAAGATGAAAGAAAATACAGCTTTGTTTAAAAAGAGTTTTCTGCTTCGAGTCAGCAATCCAAATGATTCAGAGTCAAATAAGTATGTACCCTGTTCAGTTGGAAAAGTCAACTACCTATCCTCAAATTAATATTAGTACATGAAAGGTAAGAAATTGGAGACAATAATGGGAATAAAATATTACAACCTAAGAACAGCCACAGTGCAGGCAAATGCCCTAAGCTCTGTCTAAACACTTTGCTTCATGTACTGACAAAGATAATATTTATATCCCTAAAATGTAGTGTGGGAGTAGAATCAGATTAGTTGGGTCTCATATAACTACAGCCTTTCATTTCTGAGGTAAATGAATAATGGAAGCAGTTTAACTGAAGGCTAAGGTATGAGCACACTGCTCAGAAGTGCTGCCAAAACAGAAAGCCTTAAGGCAGGCTCTACATTTAAAGACCACAACTAAACTGCGTCTTTAGGTTTGGTTACTAGAACTTGGAATAAAAGTATGCAAATTGCCTCATATGCAAGTTTTAAAAAATATTTCCAAAGAGAGCCCTAACAAACAAAAACCTGTGTCCCTGCAATCATGCTAAATAAAAATGGTAGATTAAAGTGCAGCCAGAACTTTCTTCAGGGAAGAATCTTTCTTCCGTGATGCCAATAAAGAACAAGGGATGGATAGGGAAGATGTTCCCTGATAACAGAATTTGGATCAGGCAAAATGACTAACAACTACACAACTACAAATTCACTGAACTGCAGTTGACCAAGAAAAATGAACATCATCTGGAGTTTCTAGACTCAGAACTACATAAGGAGTGAGTTTTCTCCCTCTATGGAAGAGACAGATCTTAGTTCCAAGGGAGTAGATTCACTGTGTTATGGAGGAGAATATTTACATAATATACATAAAATAAAAACCTAGTTCTAGGCAATATTTTATATTTTCTTTATTTGTTTTTAATTATCTTGCAACATTTCTTCCTTTTTCTGATTATAATTTTCTTTGTATCAGAAAATGTCTTCTTCCATCTGATGGGGCTGTCATTTACATGAGCCCATTTCTCTACCACAAGGGTAGAGTGACAAAAGAGTTGGCATGATGAAATCAGGGTCAATTAAAAATCTAAAATGCACCAAGCATCATGTAACATGTTGCTGCTGAAGATCATCTTTTCCATCAGATAGAGAGAAAGGGCCAGGCACGGTGGCTCACGCCTGTAATCCCAGCACTTTGGGAGGCAGAGGCAGGTGGATCATGCAGTCAGGAGTTTGAGACCAGCCTGGTCAACATGGTGAAACCCTGTCTCTACTAAAAATATGAAAATTAGCCGGGCGTGGTGGCACTTGCCTATAATCACAGCTACTCGGGAGGCTGAGGCAGGAAAATTGCTTGAACCCAGGAGGCAGAGGTTGCAGTGAGCCAAGATCATGCCACTGCACTCCAGCCTGGGCAACAGAGCAAGACTCCACCTCAAAAAAAAAAAAAAAAAAAAAAAAAAAAGAAACAAATAGAGAGGCAGAGCTCTCGTTAAACCTTTGGATCATTTCTATCTTTTTTATTGATATCTCTATTTAATGAAATATCATTCTTCTTGTTCTTGTTAGCTCTTTGTCCATAGTTTCTTTAGCTTCTTGACACACCAAAGAGAGGGCTCAAGCCCACTGTGGCAGCTTTCCTGGGCTTAGGAGTCTCAGGTTATAATCTAGTGCTTCCAGAACATCTGTAAGTTGAGAGGGAAGGAAACTAAAAAGGAGGGAACATAAAAGTATGAGGTCAAAATTTGACTGTAAAGTCCTCTTTAAAAAACTAAGAAATATTGGGTAAACTTAAGAACTGGGCAGAGATTTGTATGTAGGACTAGGGAGGAGAGTTTGAAGTCCAAATTCTACCAAGTTAGAGAACCAAATTACAATATTGAGCTTTATCTACTTGAAAGCACATTAGGGTCTTGGTTTAGGAATTAGAACCATATAGCTAGACTGAAGAATGCATCATACACCAGAGAGAAAATCTGAAATAGGTCGACTCAAACCAAACCTAATCCTAATTTGAACAGTTTGAATAGCATTGATCTTTGCTACCTGTTGGAGCAAAGATCAATGCTCTTCAAAAAAAAAAAAAAAAAAAAATAGAATGAAATCCACAGTGACCAGTCTTCAATGAGAAACAACCAGACATATGAAAAGGTAAAATTTGATTTTTAATCAAGCAAAAAAGTAAATAGAAACAATTATACGAATGACTGACACTTTGGACTTAACAGAATAGAACTTTAACTATCATGAATATAGAAAATAATATAAAGGAGAGTATAAATATGACAGGCATGGAAAATTTCAAAAGAAAAAATTTCGTTTTAAAATTACAAAATAAAATACATGAAATCATTGGACTGGCTTAGCAGCAGTATTAGGCGTTGCCAAAGGTAGGATAAATAAATCTAAACACGAGTCAATAGCAATTTTTATAGTGAAAAACATAGAGAATAATAAAAATAGCAACAACAAGGTTCCAGTGACCTGTGGGGGATAAAAAGAAAGGGAGGAAGGAACAGAAAGTGTGTATCCATATGTACTATTTTAAAATTTACCCAACTTGACAAAAAAACTAAAACCTCACAGGTCTATGGTGCTTTATGTACTATGAACAGGATGAACACACACACAAAAAAAACACATCTAGGCACTTTTTTTCAGAAACAATATTAGCCGAAAGAGCAATGGAATGACATTTTCAAGATGCTGAAAAAAATTAAAAACCTACAAACCTAGAATTTTATATCAGCAAAACCAAAAATTATCCCAAAATAATGATGGTATGGATATATTTTAATACAGATCGAGTACCCCTAACCTAAAAATCTGAAATCCAAAATGCTCTAACATCAGAGATTTTTGAATACTGACATTATGGTCAAAGAAAATGCTCACTGGGGCATTTTGGATTTCAAATTTTCAAATCAGGGATGCTGAACCAATAAGTATAATGCAAATATTCCAAAATCCAGAAAAGTGTAGAATATGAAACAATATGGCCCCAAGCATTTCATATAGGGAATATACTAACCCTGTATTTTGAAAAAACTAAGAAAATTTATCACCCTCAGGTTTACCTGACATTCTACATGAGATTTTTAATGAGGGAAAGTTTATGTCAGTCAAAAATGTGGTTCTATGGGAAAGAATACAGTGGCTTATGCCTGTAATCCCTGCACTTTGAGAGGCTGAGGCAGGTGGATCACATGAAGTCAGGACTTCGAGACCAGCCTGGCCAACATGGTGAAACCTCAACTCTACTAAAAATACAAAATTAGCCAGGCACGGTGGCATGGGCCTGTAGTCACAGCTACTTGGGGGAGCTGAGGCAGTAGAATCACTTGAACCTGGGAGGGGCCGGTTGCAGTGTGCCAAGATTGCACCATTGCACTTCAGCCTGGGGGACAGAGCAAGACTCCATTTCAAGAAAAAAAAAAAAAAGCTGGAAATATGAATAAATATAAAAGATTAGTTTATTTTCTTTTCTGAAATTCTTTAAAAATCCATTTAAAAAGGTAAATGTAGGTAATGCTACTCTCAGGTTCTTATCTTATACGTGAAGCAATATAATGTGAAGTTAAGATAAGCTTTGATAAATTTAAGTATATATTTTAATCCCTTGAGTAACTACTGCATAAATGAGACAATTTAGCTAAAAATACAAGTACAAAAGATAAAATAAAATTCTAATAAATACTTGATTAAATCAAAAGAAGGCAAGAAGTAAGAGGTAGAGAGAAAGGGCAAAAGGGCAAGAAGAAAACAAAGCTCAAGTGGGTAGACTTAAACCTAATCACATGAACTATTATATTAAATATAAGAGGATTCAAAAGTACAATTAAAAGGCAAAGCTCGTCAAGCTACATTACAAAGCAAGACTCAACTATATGGTGTCTACAGGGCATGTACTTTAATTACATAAAGCCATGAAACATTAAATATATGAAAGTGGAATTATGAATATCAGATAAAGAAGACTTCAAGAAAAGGAGTAGTCTCATAAAGAAGGAATATTTCATAATGGCAAAAGCATCATTTCAGCAAGATACATAAACAATTTAAAATGTGTTGTAGTTAATTCAAATTGCATGAATCTAAATGATTTAATAAACAATATAAAGTTGGAGGTTTTAGCACTTATCTCTCAGTCATTAGCAAAACAGTTGACAAAACACTGAAAAAGATAGAATAATGGAAAAAGGTTGTTATTCAATTAGACTTATTTTGCATTTATAGAACTTCAAATAACCAAGAACAGCACAATACACATTGAGTGAATATGGAGCATTCATCAAGGTTGACCACATTCTGGACTATGAAACACACTTAAAAGTAAATTTTAAGCATTAAATCATCCAGAACATATTCTTTCATCACAATAGAATTAGATAGGAAAGCAGTAACAATCTAGTAAATGCTTACACATTTTTTTTAATTAAGCAACACACATATAACCTATCATTGCAATCTACTCCATTAACTGGATAAAGGATAACGTTGCATGATCATCTCAATATAAGGAGAAAAATAATTTCACAAAGTTGAGTACCCATCATGATTAAAACTCACAGTGTGACACCAACAACAAATTCTTAGAAAGTTAGGAACAGAAGGAAACTTCCTCTATCTAATGAAAGACATATACGAAAAATCTACAACTAACATCATACTAAGTGAAATATTGAATAGTCCCAGTTTAGGATCAGAAATAAGGCAAAGATATTTGTTCTTTTCACTCTTTTTACCATTGTACAGGAGATCTAAGCTAATACAATAAGGCAAAGCAATGGGGGGAATATTATATAAATATTGGAAAAGAAATGGTAAATTGGTCCTTGTTTATATTTTGTATATAGAAAATACTAAAGAATGTACCAAAGCAGTACTAGAAAAATGTAAGTGCTTAGAGTATGGATGCAGAATAAAAAGTCAATATAAATAAGTAAATACTATTTTGAATACTAGCAAAAACCATTTGGAAAATAAAATTTTTAAATATCATTTATAGACTCTCAGTTTCCAGTCCAATAGGTAAAGATCTTTGAAGTCATTTTTTGTATCCTCACAAAAAGAATAAGAACATACGGAAAATCAATAATCTTTCTTAGATGCATCAGAGAATTGAGGTTACAGGGCAAACTGTTGGCCAAAACCTACAGAAACAGATAGGTGGATACATATAATCATAGCTTTCTAAGAACAAACCCTCAGAGATGAAGTCAATATCTGTAGAATCGCTTACAGCTCTAATTGACACGTTTCTGGTGGCTCAGTGTGAACTAGCTGTAGAGTTCGAAGTAAAACAATATATACAATTTTTATTTGACAATTAAAAACAAATTTAAAAAGAGACAAACTCAATACAATGTGTAAAATAAAAGACAAAATGAGTTAAAAATTTCCACAGTAAAAAGTTAAGGTGCTAAATGGTATTAATCATCAATGAAATGTAAATAAAAAAACAGAGTGGGCTATTACATTGCATCTACTGGAGTGACTAAGATTTCAAAATTTGGTGATTTCAAATATTGGTGGGGATGTTGGCATCTATTAATAAGTCTCGTAAAATTGTAAAGTGACAAAACATATTTGGAATGCTTTTTTGCATATTTACGTGTGTGGCATATGGCCTACCAGTTTCATCCTTGGGTATTTATTCCAAGTAAAATGAAAATATACATACAGATAAAGACTTCTGTAAGAATATTCATAGAAGCTTTATTTATAATCACTGAAAGATCAAAACTAAGCGTTCATAAAGAGATGAGTGTCTTATTCTTATAATGGAATAATAGAAACAAAGCAAAAAATATGCTAAGTGAAAGAAGTCAGACACAAATACATGCTTTGTGAGTCCATTTTTAAGAAACTCAAGAACTTACAAAACCAATCTTGGGTGATAAAAGTCAAAACAGGGCTGGGAGTAGTGGCTCACTCCTATAATCCCAGTTTGGGAGGCTGAGGTGGGTGGATCATTTGAGGTCAGGAGTTCAAGACCAGCCTGGACAACATGGTGAAACTCCGTCTCTACTAAAAATACAAAAATTAGCCAGGCAGTAGTGGCACACACCTGTCATCCCAGCTACTTGGGAGGCTGAGGCAGAATTGATTGAGCCTGGGAGGTAGAGTTTGGGGTGATCTGAGATTGCACCACTGCACTCCAGTCTGGGTGACCCTGTCTCAAAAAAAAAAAAAAAAAGTCAGAACAGTAATTGTCTCTGCTACAAGGGAATTGGTTTTAATGGGGCATGAAGAAACCACCTGAGATGATGGGAATTCTACATCTTAATTGTAGTGTTGTTTATTTGAGTATATTCATTTATGAAAGCTCATAGAACCCTGTATTTTACTGTAGGTAAATTATAACTATAAAAGTTATCATGAAAAAGAATTAAAGAACAAACTCCTTAAACATTAATTACATTCATCTTATATTAATTCCTTAGTCCTCACTTCCTAATATCATACATTTGGAATTTTACTTTATCCATCCTGTTACTGGTTTCTATTGTTTGTGTCTAAATTCGTTGTATATTTAGACCCAGCAGAAATTAGATATGCTTTTGTGCAATATAATTTAAATTTAGCTTTGCTATACATCCGTCCAAAGCTGTGCTTACCCTGCATACTTTATATATTTATTTATTTATTAATACTTTTCAGGACCACATAATGCAATTGTGGACATAGTAAATGAAGAGCCAGAACTGATGCTATTACAGAAATTATGAACAATCAGGGAACAGATCACAGGAAATTGCAAGTAACACAAAATTAACCATTACAATCATCATAAGGCCTGAGAAGTGTCCATTGACTGTAGCAACGTGAAGGTTGTTGGAGTTCCTGTGAGAACACTGTGAGTGGGTTGTAACAAACCAAAGTCAGTTTAAGGGTGTGTGGAATATAAAGTGGACACAGCAAGTGTGGACGTGTTTTAAGCGTTTTTGCTGAGTGAGAAAACAATAGAAAAGCATTTGGAATGGGCTCTGAAATCAAGTAAAGTGAGGGTTTTTTTTGTTTGTTTGTTTGTTTTTGTTTTTTTTTTTCAGTTAAGAGTTAAAACTCTTCAGTTATTGCGAGGAAAAAACTGTTGGTAAGGGAGAAATAAAAAATATGGAGGCTAAGATAACATTTATTCATTGTTGTTTTCTGGGCTATATTTGTAGTATTTGTCAGAACTAAAATGCTTTTTGCTCTTTTTTTTCCTTTTTTTTTTATTTCCATAGGTTATTGGGGAACAGGTGGTGTTTGGTTACATGAGTAAGTTTTTTTAGTGATGATTTGTGAGATTTTGGTGCACCCATCACCCAAGCAGTACACACTGCACCCAATTTGTAGTCTTTTATCCCTCACACCCTTCCCACCCTTTTCCCCTCAATCCCCAAAGTCCATTGTGTCATTCCTATGCTTTTGCATCCTCATAGCTTAGCTCCCACTTATAAGTGAGAACATGTAATGTTTGGTATTCCATTCCTGAGTTACTTCACTTAGAATCATAGTGGAGACTAAGATAATTTTTTAAAAGAGCAAGATATCCAAGAGGGTAGAAAGTTATGGGATCATAACCACATCTAAAAGGACTATCTTCATAAAAAGAACAGATGCCTTAACTATTATCACTTAAAGGAAGAAGAACGTATGTTGTATTCATTTATTAGAGTGATAGTAAAGAGGTGTCCTTCTGAATAAACATGTTTGGATGACTAGAGAGGTGTTGACTGAATAAAATAAAGACTGAATAATCACTAGGGAATGGTAAGGTTACAGAATTTATGGTATCAATCTTTGTATTGGTATAATGTTGTATTAGCATGGCTCAGTATTCATCATATACAGATGATAAAGATAAATAGATTGGCCCAGGGTTTGGGTTTCACCCAACAGGAATTAAAACAGGAAAACAGGATAAGTCATTTTAGTATAATGGCAAGGGAATAATTAAGATGATATCAAGGAGAAAAAAAGGCATAAGGTGGCTGAAAGTTAGAAGAATACAATTTTACTAATAAGATAAATAAAATCCCAAAAAGGAACAAAAATATTGCCTTTTATTTTCTGGTGACTAAATCCACAATTGTGAGTTTTTCCCCCAGAGTCTTTCTATGTTAGCAAATTGAAAATGAGCAGACGGTCCCTGGACCTGCCTATTCTTTTCCTAAAGCAGATGATCATTTCCCAAAGAACAAATGTTAAGTTAGAAATAATGGTAATGTTTAATCTTTTTAGATTTAGCAAGCATTTATGTGGCTGTTAGTCACAGTAGCATCTTAGATTATCATAGCAAGTCATGAATTTTGTGAATAACTTCCATCATATATGGTGATATCTAACTTTAGGAGAAATAAAGATTTTCTTAAATCCCCATAGGTTTGGCAGAATTGATTTATAGAAAACTTTCAGAACAAGAATCTAAATTTTCCAAAAGTGACATTGTGAAAGACATCTGTTTATCACAGGCACTAAACTATAAGCAGTCTCACTGGAAAAAGCTATATGAAGAGTGATAAATATAGTGCAGTGAGCAGGTTGCCAAAACCAATGAGTGGTAAAAGTCCTAGAAGCTAAGTGAAAGAAGAAAAAAAAAATTTTAATAGTTAAGTGCTTCTCTTCAATGCTGTTACCTTTATCTGGCACAATAAGAAGTGATTGCTCATCACTTCTTTTCTAATTTAATTTCCTTCTTTACTTCTCCAATCTCTGTTACACAATACACACCATGATGTACATGTAGCTCTGTCAAGCAACCAAACAGACTTTGAGCACGTGTCTTGCCTTTCTAAATAATTCAAACCCCAGAAGTGATTTCTCTTCAAATACTATTTTCACTGTAAGAGCCAGAGGTATGTGTTTTTACCCAACGGGTAGACAATGGCTTATTTGCAAAGTGACATGAGAATCCAAACCAGGGAGAATTCTTGTTGAGTGCTGACATGCATTGCAATAGATGCTTCAGAAATTATTGTGAAGTATTCATCTAACTTGCAGCATGTAAAATTTAAAAACATAAAATATTGAATAAAAATATATTATAAACCACTAAAATATCCATATTTAAATTACCCTAATTTTACTATAAAACCTTTAGGGAGACAGAGATGTCAAACTGTTTTAAAAGGTAACATTTATGAAAGGTAAATGCTTGTTATCTCTATATCATACAGACATAAGATAGAATTTTAAAGGATTTACAAGATTAGAGATGGAGAACTCAGGAAGCTCATAAACTGTAAAATGTTTTCATAATATTTTCTTTGCTTGTTAGCTAGTTTGCTATACTCTATCCCTGATCTTAAAGGATCATGACAGCTCACAGAAAAAAGACATACAACAAATTGATAGTAAAATTTAAACACAAATAAGGAATCCAAATTATTTAAAATATAAATAAGGTAGAAGTATATGTAAGCTTTGCATTTTCTGAGTCTCCTAACAGCCGAATAATAATGAAAACATGATCAGTAAATACATGTTTTCAAGAGGAGGAAACAAATATTTGTAAGAGAAATCCAAAAAGTTGCACATAGAATTAAATTGTAGGTGAAATTTCCCTTGTAGAGTTTCATAATGGGAGTAATATAGTAAACAAGGTCTATAATAATATTTCTACAACAAACAATATTTCTATAATAGCAACAGACTTAACTGCTTCATTTTAAACAACCTCCATTTCAAAGCCCAATGAATAATATTGAAATGCAACTTACTAAAGGCAGTTATACAAAGAGTCAATGAAATATAGTCAAACCATTTAGTAATGACCCAATTCTATTATTGGTTTTTAATGACTCAGTGATAGAATTCACTGTGTATATGTATATGTTTATGTGTGTGTGTGTTAATTTCATATATCCAATGAAGGGTTTACTTTGCAATTATATATTGTTTATCTATTTTGTAGGAAAAAGTATTATCAAAGAACCCATGCCTTAAGTATAATCTCTCCTTTCACAAACCCATAGTTTTGTTTATGCTGTCACCCTTAGAAATCTATTCTCCCTCAACAAAGTAAGCTATTCTTCAGAAATCAGGTCAAATGCCACTTCCTTTTTGATATTCCCCAGGAATCAGTTTCTTGTTTCTCTGTGCCCACAAAGAATGTTTTTCCCCTTTTACAGAATTCTTTACACTGTGTTGAAATTATTCTCATTTTGGTCTATTTTATCGGAATATGAGCTTTTCAAAGCTATGCAATTTGCCTTATGCATGGTAGTTTCCTTAATACTTAATACTAGGACTCAATACATATTCTCTGAATGAAGGAATTAAAGGAGAAACAAATTATTTTTTGATAAGGTAAGAAAGTGTTAATTATTCTGAAACCAAAGGCTCCAATATGTCTTGATCATTCCCTCAAATTATTTGGAGATATTTTTGGCTATGAACATTTTTTCTGGGATATAGATCCATAGCCTTGATCAATGTCAAAGGAACCCCTAATCCTGCCTCTGTAGAATAGGAAACATTGGGATAAAAGGACAAACATTCAGAGAATGTTACAATTTTAGTCTTCCAAATGCTCAAGTTACTTATTGGATTTTATAACCTTTCAAATAGAAAATAAATATTCAACACACTATCTGATTATTATTTGCATTAATTATGGGAGAAAGTAAATTTTTCTAGTGTTTCCTGGAGTCTGCTGACCATGTAGGCCATATCACAGCTAAATATATTCCACCTGGCCTTTATTTGTTTGTTGCTGAGAAAATTACAGTTGACTAAGCAGAGATCCAAATGACGAGAATGTTGGACTAATTATTCATTAATGAGAGATGCAAAAGAGAAGTGCTTCTAAGAATCAGTATACTATACTTAAATGACTTAGCACTTGGAGAGAAATCTATGAAAATAAGGACATAACTTAGACACTATATTAATTGGAACATATTTTTCTAGATTTTCACAGTAGACCTACAGCTGACAGTTCTATTTCTAATGCCAATTCCCATTTGAAAAGTTCCTATTTCTGAAATTATAGCATGCAATACACGAATGTAGATGAAAATCTATTAAGGTAATTTGAATTACAGAATTCATTGTGCTTATATAATAGATTGAAACAGCTTAAAACATATGATTTGATTCTAAAACTATAACACAAGTAAATTAATCATAGTCTAGCAACTTAATCTTATAAGTCATTATTCTAAAATATAGATATTTGAATTAGCATATTTATACATGCCAAACTAACCGTATAGGTCATCATTATCTTGTAGAGGAGGTTAAATGTACCCTCTACCTTTTTAAGGTTTCTGGCAGGGACTAACATAGACAGATTAAAAATAAAAAAAGCATACAATATTTATTTGGTAATTTTTACATGTACATGAGCGCCTTCAAAAGAAGAATGAAGACCCAAAGAACTGGCTAAGCCTAAGGCTTATATGTTAGTTTGAATAAAGGTTGGCAACTATGGAAAATTAATTAAAATAAATGTGACTAAAAAGACAAAAGTTATTTTAATAAGCTCTGTTTATACAGATTTTCTCAGCCCCCAGTCTGCATCTCTGGTGATAAGAATGTTCTATTCTCCTGGTTTAGGGAGAGCATCTTTCACATAAGAGTTTTATTTCCTGCTTTCAAGAAGAAAAAGGGAGGTCAGAGTTTCCTTCCTGCATCTGCTATTTGTCAAGTGCCTTAAGTTCAAAATAATCAACATGTCAAATTTGCATATTTTGGGGTGGTATGTCCTGAACTCCTTCAGTCTACACAAGTGCTTATGAGCAACAGGGTAGCTTAACTCAGGAGAAGATAAAAGTTGAGATCCTTTATTTAGTTGTGCAGTCTCCCTTCTTGTGTAAAATAGAGACACGCATTTATATGCATTAGAGATTGCTGTCAAAATTCAACGGAACATAGTTTTCAGCACAAAAGAGATTCTCTTTAATGTTATTCCCCCATCCTTTCTACATGTGATTCTGTTATTTTGTATGTATGAAGTGTGTTATAATGAATATGCTAACATCACATTTTAAAATCAGTGTTTCTTAGCCTTTTATGACTGTGACACTTCAAAATGTCAAAAATTTTGGCAGCAGGAAAAGGATTTGAAAGTAAAGATAACTGAGTAAAGTTTAGAACTTACTTTTTCTCTGGATAATTTCAAATGTTCCCATGTTCCCCACTCCTATTGAGATCAGATGCCTATGTGTATCTAGAAATTGGCCCAGAAACTGATTTAACCCCACCAATAAACACTATGTTTGCAAAGTAGATCTGAAAATTCCTCTTTGGAAGGGCTGCTCAGCTATTGAAAAAATAACCTTGGACAAAACAAAGTGGTAGCTCTTAAGCTGTTTCCCTTCAACATACAACTACACAAACTTGGGGTTTTGGATATGATTCCAGTTTATACACACTTTATGTTCCCTCAACGTAACAGTAAATGTGTGATTGGCTATTCTAATACTTCAGGTTATAAGCAATATTTGTAGATCAACACATAAATGTGTGAAAAAACTAGCTAAATTTAAAAGAAATTCATGTTCGTATTAAGTTATGTGGGATAAGTGTGGAATTTCTTTGCGGAGAATATAGAGTCTGACTTAAAACAATGATTTGGTTTTATGAGGTAATGATTCTTTTAAATGATTAATACTGGAGACTCAAAAATCTCTATTTTAAACCGCTGTCTTTCTCTCTAGATACTAATTTTTCACTGTCTTCAAGCTCAAAAATTACAACACAGAATTCCTTATATTCTTCTGTACATCCTTCATTTTTTGTTCCTAGTGACAGAGAACAGCATTATAATATGTTTAAAATCTTCCCCCCACCACTGAAGGAACTCCCTTATCCTTTTTACCTAAAATCTCACTCAAAATTTGTTTCAGAGATGAAATCATTCTTGACGTAATTCTTTCTCTATTTCACTTCCACTTTCAAATTCAAAGCTTCACTATATTTCACTTGAAATTTTGCAATCATCTTCCCAAGAGGACCCCAGTGTTCATTCCTTCTTTCACCATTCATCTATCATTCCACTGTTTTTTAAATTAAATCAATATAATTATATAATTTTCATAACAACTTTGATAATTCCCAATAGGCCAAAGGATAAAGTTCAAGTTTTTTTAGTATAGAATCTGTAGACCTTATCAATAAAGCTAAATCATCCTTCTAACCCTGTCCTACCATGTGATGCATTTTAGCTTACAATACTACTCACACTATTCAAAGATGCTATACATTTCCCGGCTCCAACTTTGATCATGCTATTCCTTCTCTTCTACTAGAAACACACAGGGTTGATAAAGTATAATCTCAGAGAGCAATGTCCCTTCGTTTCTACCAGAAACACACAGGATTGATAAACTGCATAATCCCCAGGGCATTATCCACATAGTTTATGTTATGAGACCTTCATGAAACAGATAGACTAGGATGGTGCCCTTGGAAGCAACAAAGCAACAAACAAACATTGAAAACTCATGTTCCTAAGAACCAATTTATTGTTTATGCTTATTCATTTATTCAGTAAATAATAAATCAAAGCCTATGACGGGGCATGTCCTGGCCAGGGATTTTAGGATAACAGATATGAATATTTTTGAAGAAATAGGTACCATATGTGTATATTTCTCATGATCCTAGGCTAGACAAGGGCATGGGTAATATCTTGCTTGATCAGGTGCATTGCGTGGATCTAAGAATAAAGATTCAAGAGATATATTTCTGGATAAAGCTATAATCAGAACTATTTGACTATTCAGCCATATCACAAAATTAATTTATATATGCAACAATAACATAGAAATCAGGGAAGCCAGGTTATTGATGAAAGGAGGCAAAAGGAGACAGGAAGACTCACCAGAAACTATCTTCTGCTTAGAAGATAATCTCATCACAGCCGGGCGCGGTGGCTCACGCCTGTAATCTCAGCACTTTGGGAGGCCGAGGCGGAAGGATCACGAGGTCTGGAGATTGAGACCATCCTAGCTAACACGGTGAAACCCGGTCTCTACTAAAAATAGAAAAAATTAGCCGGGCGTGGTGGCGGGCGCCTGTAGTCCCAGCTACTCGGGAGGCTGAGGCAGGAGAATGGCGTGAACCTGGGAGGCGGAGCTTGCAGTGAGCCGAGATCACGCCACTGCACTCCAGCCTGGGCGACAGAGCATGACTCCGTCTCAAAAAAAAAAAAAAAAAGATAATCTCATCCCTTGTATGCAGTAGTCCAATAATGATGAACAAATCAACCAAGTAATATTAATTCTACTGGTAAATCAGAATTAACCAAACTATTTTCTCCTATCAAAATAAACAAGTGAATTATATTTCACTCTCATTACTAGAAAATGTTAGTATTAACTAACTGTTGCTCTCAACTTTCACCTTCTTAAAAAATGTCTCATTCAAAACATTATATTCCACATTGTGTACATACTGGACTATTTAGCAGCCTTCTTGTGACATTGTATTGTAATTATTTATAGCATATTAGTTCCACCTCTACTTTTTAACTTTTTTGTTATTTTTTAATTTAAATTTGTATTTCCCACACATTTAGCCCAGATTAATAATATGCGTGATAGGGAAAATCTGAAATAATTTACCACATTGATAATGGAAGAAAAGTAGATTTGAAAGTCACCTATGTGATATAATTTAAAACATTTGAAAATTGTAGGATGGTTTGAATTTATAAAAGGTGAAAATAGGAAAGAAGCACTTTAAATGGGAAGAATACATCCAAATACACACAAGGAAAGAGACAGCATAATGGGAGAAAACCTTGGAAAACATGGTGCCACACGATGGGATTACCAGAATGCCATGTTATACAATTCAAATATTGGGATACAAACAATTTGCCTTATATTCGCAACCAATTTTAATTGCATGACTATATTTCTTCCTTATTAGTTTATTAATTATACCTTCAATTATTTTTCTCATTTGCTGAAGGTGTTACAATATGTATCCTTGGCATATTAGGGTCCTACCTTGAATTAGTACTTTTACCACTTCCCATCTAACACAGGTATCTTACAACAATTTAGGCCCTTTACCCCTTCCACATTTTGTTTTGCAACCCTATCATTTTTATCTCATTTAAGTGCACAAAATACCATGGAGCACATAATTTTTATAACCTACTGTAATACATCACTTTCCAAACACTGTATTTTTCTTAAACAAGATGTGAATTGCTGAAGAATTTTGCATAGAAGTATGAACTATTAATATACCTGTCTCCTACTATTAGATAATTATATTGCTATGTAAAAGAAACATTAAAATGACTATTATTTACTAAATATTACTTTCTAAGAATACATTGTTAAACGTGCACTTTCCAAATGAAAGTATAAGCACCTTTAAAATGCTTTTGAGACGTATTCCAAAATTGCTCTTTAGAAATGCTGTATGAGTTTATGTCATAGTTTTTGATAGGAGACTGAATATTATTTTTATGCTTACAATATTGCAAATTATAATTTAGTAATTAATTTTAAATTGAATTTCTTTTTAAAATAATAAATTGTATAAATTTTAATATATTTGTCATATATTTTTATTGTCCATTGGTGGATTACTTACCCATTGTATCTACTTTTATTTTTCTATGGAAGTACCCATTACTTTAGTTCAGTTAATATGCAGTTATGTAGATTTGTTGCAAGAATACTGCATAAGGGTATTAAAAATACTTTCATAAGAACACTAAAAATAAAAGTTTTCATATTAAAAAGTTAAAGCAAAAACAGTATCTAGTGTGTCATATGCCCTTCTAGTGGAACTTAGTTTTATTAAAATATCTGCATGTTTTACTCATGTTCATTGGGATCACAGATTTAACTCAGAATAAATACTAGGCATGAAAAAAAATGTAATTTGTTGTGATAAAAAATCAGTAACTTTTCTATCATGATTAAAGCTGAGAACAAACCTATAGTACAAGCAGCCTTTTGCATCCCAACACTCTGTTCAAATGATATCAGGCTCACATGTTCAGGAGTATGGCTTTTAAGTCTTCATAGCATTAGGCTTTGGCACTGTATTTTCCTCATGCTTTTAAGATGATGTTACTGATCCACTTTGCTTTCATCTCCGAGTCTACAGCATATACCATATAATTGGGTATATTAAACTTTGGTCAGAAACCAGTAGTTATCCATGGTTGACTATTGGGCTCATAGAATCCTCTGGGTTCTGGCTGTGCCTTCTATTTTCTTCCAGGGTTCTTTACAGTTCTTCCTACGAAGTCACTACCTGGTACCTCGCTGGTGGCTCCGCCTTCCATCACTTTTCCAAGATATTCCAGCCATACTCTCAGAAAATTCTTGTTTCCCTCTCTGTTCCTCTAAGTTCAAGATAAGCTTTTGGAAATGCCACCTTCAGCCAGACCCAGCTGTGCATACCCCATCCTCTTTTGGTTAGCGTAGAAAGGAACACATTCTAGATTCCTAAATATGGGGTAGAAACAATAGAATATCTCTGTTCTAGATATTACCTTAACTTATCAAAAGGACAAGACTTGTCTTTGCTCTCCTATTTTTTTCTTAGAAATGTAAAATAATGGGTTTCCAGCTGATGCCATGGACACTGATTCCTCCTCCTCCTTTTTATTCTATTAACCTTCTTCAAACTTTTGAATAAAACCATAGATCTGGCCCTTATTAATCTACATAGGATAGAATGAGAAATACCTAAAACTCCATAGTTCTTTCTACATTTTTTCTTATATTATACACATCATGATGTGATGTCTACCCTAACCACCAAGAAATGAATAATATAAATAAGGCAAAGATAAGGTGCTACAAAATTCAAAAGAGAAAAATCACATCAATAATTCAATATTTTATACCTATTATGTATGTACGTTTTATAGTTAAATAATCTCATTATTCTCAGATACAATAATTAATGCTCCCTTTCAATCCTTAATTATTAATTCTTAAGAAAGCACTATAAAGTTGCCCCCAAATCCATTATGGGTCTTGGAAGTTCTAAGTTGATGCCATCAAATGTATATCACAGAAGTGCATACATTAATCAAACTTAGCTAAGTATTACATTAAACTTGAAATAACTTATGCAGGCTAATATTTCTTGTTATACATATCATGTGGATAATATTAACAATACTTAACTATGTTTGTTCAACAATGCATGCAGTTCTTATCAATACACACCCTATAGCAGCCATTGTAAGCTTCAAATAGAAGGTTGCCTCTGGTCAACTAGAGAAAAGTTAACATGCTTTTGCTTTAGAAATCTCCATACAAGATCTCATGACTGAATCTTGCCATTGGAAGTGAGCTGCCAGGGATTACTTAGTTTTAAGATAGAGGACTAAGTGGATGAGAAGTGAGGATTTTTCTTAATCGTCCAATGGCAGGGAACTCAATCTCCAAATCTCCAGAGTTGTCACTTCACATAACCTTGAATCATTAGGGCCTCTGGATAGAAGTAGTTGCTATGTGTGCCCCCACTGACTGAATCAGCCATCCTTCTCTCTTAGTCTTGGCAATTTCATTTTCCCCATAGTTGAATACTTTTCTACCTCCCCTTGAATAAATACCAGGCTCCCTTACCTACTAAGTTACAGCCTATATTTAATTCCCTCAAAAAAAGAATATTTTAAATACCTATTTTTAAGTTGTTTAGACATATTCTGCATTCTATCCATTTGCTTTGTGCTAAGAACTGTCTTCCAATAACCATAGGGATAATAGCTTATTCTCAGAACTGTGAAATTTTGGCAGCTCCATGGTGATGGTAGGGTTCAGGGAGGTAGAATAAGGATTTAATTCTGATTTCAACTACCCCCCAATCATTTTGTTGTTTTATTCTTTCAAATCATGTGACAATATAAAAGAAATTTAAAAAGAGTTTAGTTTTGGCAGTGCAGAAAATGATTCCATGATTGATATCAGCAAAGACAGAACCCAGTCTTGAGTAAACTTAGAAAGGCATTCACTGGAAATAATCTAACATCTTATTTGTTTCATGAGACACATTGCTGGTTCTGTCTTGAAGCTGTGAGCACACTGTGACTCACATAATGTCAGTGAGCTACAAAACAATGAACTTCAAAATCCAAGGGGAATTTTGTCAACTTTAGCTTTGCCATGAAATATGACCCTTCTCTGTGTAAAAGTGAAAAGGGGAAGGAAAGTGAAAGAGGATAACTAGTTTTTAACTGGCTTCAATGTCGTGAACACGTTACATGTAACATCTTGTTGAATCCATACAACTAGAATATTTGTATTCCATTTGAAAGATAAAAAATTTTCAACAGATTAATAAGTTATCATAAATCCTGTAAGCACTATAAAATAAAACTGAAATTTGAATTCCAGCCTGAATTATTACTGTGCTCATGGGTTTATAAATGTATGTATGGCTTTGTAACCATCACAATGGTAGTTAATTACAAAGAATCTTAATGGTACTAAGGTGACTCAAAATAGTAATTCTCTACCTTACTGAATAAACTGATATTACAGTTTTACTACTGTTAGGAATCGTTCAAGGAGTTTGAGGAGATATAAAATGAATAGCACATGGACATTTTCTTGTATCAGTTAAAATCTAATAAATAAAACAAAAACATGACATTATATAATATATAGGCTTATTTCTAAACTATCAGAAAGATATAGTGTAACAATTGTGATAGCAAAGATGAAAGCAAAACGCTCTAGGAAAAATATAGAAAATGACAGATTCTAGAGAGGAAAAAAAGGGCATGTTTTAATAGGCAAACACATGCCCAAAAGATGGTTAAGATGTCAACATTTAGCAATGAAAAGAAGAATATTTTAAACAGTGGAAAGTATGTGACTAATGAATAGAATAGAAAAGGCAATAACATGAAAAGTAAGTAGTCCATTATAGGTATACACAATTATTTTCTAGAAAAGTCTACAGGATTAAAAATAGAAAAATAAATAGTATTCAGATTAAAGGGAGCCTTGGACCTTCTAATTTGGTGAATTTTATTTGTCATTATACATCTGTCAAAAGGTTTTAAGCAAATATTTGACATATTTTTAAAAATAGACTTTGAAAATGTTTCTGTAACAGTTTACTTAGCATATACTTGAAGAGAGTTGGGATATAAAAGCAATAAGGCCAGATTTTAAGAAAGCTATTGCAATAATCAAAGAGTGAAAATGACATCTTGGATTAAGGGTATGCCAGTAGAAATGGAAAGGAGAGGACACACATGAAAGACATTAAGGTGAGAAAATTAGCTATTTTCACTAATATTTCCCTTTAGTGCATTCTTTACTTTAATAATCAGCTGGAAGATACTTTCAATATGGCTTCTCAGTGATCCCCATCCATTTAAGATTTTAATCAGGCAGTTACTGTCTGGTAATAAAATGACATTCTATGTTATAATGATGGGCCTTTCAAAGAGCTCTCATCAATGATTGAGTTGATGCTCAGTAATGAGCTGATCTGTATTCAACACACTGTGCTTAGTTTAATGAACTTAAATTTAATTTTTGCCAGAGCTGAGAGCTTTAAATCAAAGCCATGACATTGTATCCTGGCAACAAAAGTTCCCAACACTATTCTATAGTATATTGCAGATTTATTCTGGGGTGGGCACTTAGAGATTATTTCTAACTTTTCATAAACTTTGTATTTTGTTAATCACTGTTTAAATTAGCATATCTTTACTCAACTAGTAAGGAGACTTGACTTCATAGTCACAAGACTGACTAGAGGAGATAAAACATATTGTCTCCAAATCTCTGGATTTATGCAAGAAGTCTTCT
Source organism: Homo sapiens (assembly GCF_000001405.40). Taxonomy (NCBI): domain Eukaryota; kingdom Metazoa; phylum Chordata; class Mammalia; order Primates; family Hominidae; genus Homo; species Homo sapiens. Next base: position 102,272,436 of record NC_000009.12, on the reverse strand, counting down.
GAAACATTATGTAAGACATTGGGATTTTTTTTAAAAAAATGTTTTCTCTATGCAAAAAGTAACAGATGCTGGTGAGGCTGTGAAGAAAAGGGGATGCTTTTAAGCTGTTGAGGGGAATGAAAATTAGTTCAGCCATTTTGGAAAGCAATGTGGAGAGACCTCAAAAAGCACAAAAGACAATTATCATTTGATGCAGCAATCCCATTATTGATTACATACCCAAAGGAAAATAAATTGTTCCACAAAAAAGATACATAGATTTATATGTTTATTGCTGCACTATTCACAACAACAAAGACATGGAATCAACCTAGGCACTCATCAATGGTGAATTGGATAAAGAAAATGCTGTGAGACTGTGGAGAAAAGGGGATGCTTTTAAACTGTTGATGGGGATATAGATTAGTCCAGCCATTGTGGAAAGGAATGTGGAGAGATCTCAAAAAGCATAAAAGACAATTATTTGATGCACCAATTCCATTATTGGTTACATATCCAAAAAGGAATAAATTGCTCCACAAAAAAGACATGTATGTTAATATGCTCATGGCTGTACTACTCACAATAATAAAGACATGGAATCAATCTAGGTGACCATCAATGGTGAATTGGATAAACAAAATGCTGTACATATACACCATGGAATACTATGCAGCCATGAGAAAGAAAAAAATCATGTCATTTGAAGCATTATTAATGCAGCTAAAGGCCATTATCCTAAGCAAAATTAACACAGAAACAGAAAACCAAATACTGTTTGTTCACATTTATAAATGGGAGCTATATATTGAGCACATATAGACATGAAGAAGGGAAAATAGACACTGGGGGCTACAAGATGGGTAGGGGCGAAGGTAGGCATGGGCTGCAAAACTACCTATTGAGTATCATGCCCACTACCTGGGTGACAACAGGATCCATACCTGAAACCCGAGCCTCACACAATATACCCATGTAACAATCCTGCACATGTACATCAGGAATCTAAAATAAAAATTGATAGGTTGCAACACCCGAGTTCCTTCAAATACCTGGAAAGCCTTCCCAAAAAGCATGGGTACAAACAAGCCCAGACTGTAAGGCTATGATAATTTCCTAACTCTTCAATGCCAAGAGAATGATTAACATATACAAGCATCAAGACCATCCAGGGGAACATGATCTCACTAAATGAACTAAATAAGTCACCAGGGACCAGCCCTGGAGAGACAGATATGTGACCTTACAAAAAGAGAATTCAAAATAGCTGTTTTGAGGAACTATGAAGAAATTCAAAATAACAAGAAAAGGAATTCAGAATCCTATCAGAAAAATTTAACAAAGAGATTGAAATAATTTTAAGAAATCAAGCAAAAATTCTGAAGTTGAAAAGTGCAATTGACATACTGAAAAATGGATCAATCTCTTAGCAGCAGAATTGATCCGGCAGAGGGAAAAAAATCAGTGAGCTTAAAGACAGGTCTTTTGAAAATACAGTCAGTGAAGACAAAAGCAAGAGGCATAAAAAATAATGAAGTCTGCCTACAAGGCCTAGAAAATACCCTCAAACAGGCAAATCTAGACATTATTAGCCTTAAAGAGGAGGTAGACAGAAAGATAAGAGTAGAAAGTTTATTCAAAGTGATAACAGATAACTTCCTAAACCTACAGAAAGATATCAATACTCAAATACAAGAAGGTTATAGAACACCAAAAAGATTTAACCCAAATAAGACTACCTCAAGAAATATCAAACTCCCAAGGGTCAAGGATAAAGAAAGAATCCTAAAGGCAGCAAGAGAAAAGAAACAAGTAACACATGATGAAGCTCCAATAAGTCTGACAGCAGACTTTTCAGTGGAAACTTTACAGGCCGAGAGAGTGACATGACATATTTAAAGTGCCATAGAAAAAAAATATTTTATCTTAACATAATATATCTAGCAGAAATGTCCTTCAAACATGAAGGAGAAATAAAGACCAGAAAAACAAAATCTGAGAGGTTTTGTCAACTCCTTATCTGTTCTACATGAAATACTAAAGGGAGTTTTTCAGTCTGAAAGAAAAGGATGTCAATGAGCAGTAAGAAATCATCTGAAGGTACAAAACTTGCTAGTAATAGTAAGTACACAGAAAAATAGAATATAAAATAGAATATAAAAAGAGACACAGAAGGTCATTATATAATGATAAGGGGGTCAATTCAGCAAGAGGATATAACAATTTAAATATATATGCACCCAACACTGGAGCACCCAATATACAAAGCGTATTAGAGCTAAAGGAAAAGATAAAGCATGTTAGAGCTAAAAAGAGACATAAATTCCAATACAATAGTGGCTGGAATTTCTAGCATTGGACAGACCAGGCAGAAAATCCACAAAGATATATTGGATATAATCTGCACTATAGACCAAAGGAACTTAACAGATATTTATAGAACATTTCATCCAGCAACTACAGAATACACATTATCCTCCTCAGCACATGACTATTTCTAAAGGAGTCCACATATTTGGCCACAAAACAAGTCTTATAAAATTCAAAACTATTGAAATTATGTCAAGTATCTTGTCTGACCACAGTGGAATAAAAGCAGACATCAATAACGAGAGGAATTTTGAAAACTATACAAAAACATGGAAATTAAACAATATGCTCTTGAATGACCAGTGGATCAATGAAGAAATTAAGAAGGAAATTGAAACATTTATTGAAACAAATGATAATGGAAACACAACATACAAAAAGCTATGGGATACAGCAAAAGCAATACTCAGAGAAATTATTATAGCTAAATGTTCCCACATCAGAAAAGTAGAAAAACTTCTAATAAACAACCTAACAATGCATCTTAAGGAGCTAGAAAAGTAAGAGCAAACCAAACCCCAAATTAGCAGAAGAAAATAAATAATAAAGAACAGAGCAGAAATAAATAAATTGAAATAAATAATACAAAAGATCAATGAAACAAAAATTGGAGTTGTTGAAGAGATAGACAAAATTGACAAACCTTTATCCAGATTAAGAGAAAAAGAGAGAAGACTCAAATAAAATCAGTAATGAAAAATGAGACATTAAAACTGGATAGTGCAGAAATTCAAAGGATCATTAGAGGCCACTATAAGGAACGATTTGCCAGTAAATTAGAAAACCTATAAAAAATGGACAAATTCCTAGACACATGCAACCTACCAACAATGAATCATGAACAAATCCAAAACCTATAGAAACCAATAACAAGTAATGAGATTGAAGCCATAATAAAAGTCTCCCCCTGCACAAACCCAGGACCTGATGGCTTCAATGCTGAATTCTACAAAACATTTAAAGAAGAATTAACACCAATCCTATATAAACTATTACAAAAAAAGGAGAAAATACTTCCAATCTTATTCTGTGAGGCCAGTATTACTCTGCTACCAAAACCACACAAAGACACATCAAAAAGTGAAAACTGTAGGCCAATGTTCATGATGCAAAAATCCTCAACAAAATAATAGCAAACCAAATTCAACAACACATTTAAAAAACAATCATTCATTGTTACCAACTGGGATTCATGCCAAAGATGCAAGGATGGTTCAACATATGCAAATCAATCAATCTGGTATACCATATCAACAAAATGCTTCAATGAAATGAAATGCTGAAAAAGCATTTGATAAAATTCAACATCCCTTTATAAAAACCCTCAACAAATAGGTGTAGAAGAAACATCTGTCAACACAGTAAAAACCATATATGACAGTCCCACAGCTAGTATCATATTGAAATGAGAAGAAGTGAAAGCCTTTTCTCTGATATCTGGAATACAAACAAGGATGCCCACCTTAACAACTATTATTTGACAGAATCCTGAAAGTCCTAGGTAGAGCAATCAGACAAGTTAATTAAATGAAGGGCATCCAAATTGGAAAGAAAAAAAGTCAACTTAGCCTTCTTTGCAGATTATGTAATCTTATGTTTGGATAACCCTAAAGACTCCACCAAAAAAATATTCAAACTGATAAATTCAATAAGTTTGCAAAATAAAAGTCAGTAGCATTTCCATATACCAACAGCAAACAGTCTGCAAAAGAAATCTACAAAGTAACTCCATTTATAATAGCTACAAATAACATAAAATATCTAAGAATAAAATGATCGAAAGCGCTCCAGAGTAAAAAGTATAAAACACTGATGTGAGAAATTCAAAAGGACATAAAAAATGGAAAGAGTCCATGTTTATGGATTGGAAGAATCAATATTGTTAAAATGTCCATTCTACTCAAAGAAATCTTCAGATTTAATGCAATCTCTATTAAAATATCAATGGCATTCTTTACAGAAATAGAAGAAAACAATACAAAAATTTATATGGAACAACAAAAGACACAGAATGCCAAAGCTATCCTGAACAAAACTGGAGGAATCACATTATGTGACTTCAAAATATTCTACAGAGCCATAGTAACCAAAACAGCATGGTACTGGCATAAAAATAGACACATAGGCCAAAGGAACAGAATAGAGAACCCAGAAAATAATCCATACATTTACTGTGAACTAATTTTCAACAAAGACACCAAAAACATATATTGGGAAATGGACAGTGTCTTCAATAATTGTTGCTGAGAAAATTAGATATCCATAAGGTAGAAGAATGAAACTAACCCCTATCTCTCACTGTACGTAAAAGTCAACTAAGTATGAATTAAAGATTTAAATGTAAGACCTCAAACTATAAAACTACTATAAGAAAACATTAGGGAAGCTCTAGGACACTGAATTGGGCAAAGATTTCTTGAGTAATATCTCACAAGCACAGGCAACCAAAGCAAAAATTGACAAATGGGATCACACCAAGTTTAAAAGCTCTGAATAGCAAAAGAAACAATAAATAAACTGTAGAAACAACCCACAGAATGGGAGAAAATATTTGCAACCCACCCTTCTAACAAGGGATTTATAACCAGATTAGATAAGGAGTTCAAACTACTCTATAGGAAAAAAACTAATAATCTCACTGAAAAACGTTCTAAAGATCTGAATAGACATTTTTGAAAACAAAAGACATATAGATGGTAAACAGGTGTATGAAAAGGTACTCAACATCATTTATCAACAGAGAAATGCAAATCAAAGCTACAATGTGATATCTCACCCCAGTTAAAATGGCTTTTATCCAAATGACAAGCAATAACAAATGCTGAAGAGGATGTGGAGAAAAGGGAGCCCATCTACACTGTGGGTGGGAATGTAAGTTAGTACAACCACTATAGAGAACAGTTTGGAAGTTCCCTAGAAAACTAAAAATAGAGCTACCATATAATCCAGCAACCCCACTGCTAGCTATATACCAAAAAGGAAGGAAGTCAGTGTATCGAAGAGAGAGATATCTGCCTCCCATGTTTATTACAACAATATTCACAATAAGCAAGATTAGGAAGCAAGCTATGTGTCCATTTACAGACAAATGGGTAAAGAAAATATGGTACATACACACAATGTCATACTACTAAGCCATAAAAAAATGAGATTCTCTCACTTATAACAACATGGATGGAACTGAAGACAAACTTTGCATGATCTCCTTATTTGTGGGAGTTAAAAAATTAAAGGAATTGAACTCATGGAGATGGAGAGTAGAATGAAGTCTACCAAAGGCCGGGAAGGGTAGTGGCAGGGGGTGGGGGAAGTGGGGATGCTTAATGGGTACAAAAAATATAGTTAGATAGAATGAATAATATCTAGTTTTTGATAGCACAAAAGGGTGAGAACAGTCAACAGTAATTTATGGTACATTTTAAAATAACTAAAAGAGTATAATTGGATTGTTTTTAACACAAAGAAAGGATAAATGCTTGAGATGATGGAAACTTCATTTACCCTGATGTAATTATTCCACAGTATATGCCGTATCAAACTATTTTATATATCCCATAAATATATACACCTACTATGTACCCATAGAAATTAAAAATTAAAAAACAATAAAAGTCAGTTATTTTTTTAAATTTTTCTCTAAATTATTTCAATATAACTGTATTTTCCTGATAACATTCAGTGGACAAGTAAATTATACAACTCAAAGAGTTAAGGGGTATTTGGGAAGATTTGCATTGCATTTCCCAGCACCATCTATCTATCTATCTATCTATCTATCTATCTATCTATCTATCTATCTATCATCGATCTATCTGTCATCTATCTATCTTTGTTTCTGTCTATATATCTCTAGATAGATGTTTCTATATACGGGTATTTGTAACTTTATAATTTCAATAAGATCTTCCTTCTTATCTCTTTGTTCATTACTCTAACATGCCATCAGGGCAACAAATAATAAAGAGGAGAGAGAATGATTTAAAGATTTCTATTATTTCTACATATTTTCTTTATATTATAGGATGTAATGAGAACTGCAATAGCAGTAATTAAATTCTTCATTAAGAAAGGTGAAAAAATTTACCTGTCTTTTCAAAAGCTTTCATTTGGTGGTGGTCTCTTAGTGTCCATATGAATATATAACTTTAAAAATTTATTTTAGTGTAAATATAATTTTAATGTCATTTTTCAGTATTTCTTTTTCAGTCTATTTTGTGTTTCAGTATCACCTCAATATGTGTATATTTTATTGGTCATACAATATTCCATTTTAAATATTATCTTATTAAGCTTGACTTGCACCCTCTTGGCATATGTAATTATATGACAGTGAAAAAGTGGCAACCAGGTATCCTTCAATAAATACCTTTATGTGCAGAAACGTTTTTTCCTTCAGAGTATTTTAAATACTCTTTTAGAATTTTTTTAGTATAAAACAAGTGGCATGATACAAAAGTATCATGGATACTGGATAACACAACAGTCTAATCCATTTGGTAACATGGGAAATTTGAACCATTTTTTGCCATTTACACTTTGCTCTAGATGCATATTTTATAAATTATTTTCTGAGTATTTTCAGGAGTACTAGCCTTTTCAAAGAAAATAATGTTTATTTAGATCTTGTAGCAATTCTTAAGAGAACTGCTATATTTCAATGCATGAGTTCATATTAACCAATCTTTTCGATTAAATATTCTAAATCCACAATAACTATGTCTACTGACCCAATGACTTAAACACTATCTTATTTGTCCAAGAAAATGAGCTTTTAATAAGAACCATGAAATAAAAATATATTCTCATTTCTTTTGGCACTTGGGGAGAAACACTATGTAATAACTAAGAGATTGAATTATGAAAAATGACTTCTGTGAAAAAGCAGCCACTACTTTTCATGAAGATAATGTGATATTTTAAAAGCAGCCCAATATATAGGCTACTGAAACAAGGGTCCCCAACTTATGATGATCAAGTACAGTAAATGTTTTTAAATGTAATTCAGTTATCTTCCTTCTAATTAACATGGGAACTACTGTTAAGTATAGAGTCAAGTCATAAATTGCATCAATATTAAATAAAGCCTTCATTGTCTATTGAACCAAAGATTATTTGGGGGTTAAATGAATTATAACTCTGTCAACAAAATTCACAGTGATGAGGTGCAAACTTCTGAAATATTTTGCTATACTTGATCAATATAGATAGTTTTTTAGGATCATTCATGAAGGTGACGATCACTCATCAAAGATGATACTTGACTCGAATGATTTCCCTTTCCATCATTATAAATTCACTGAAAAATTGTCAATATTTTTCTTCACTTGAAGCTTGAGAAATCCATCCACATTCCAGGTATCTGCATAGACTTTTCAAGTTTAATTTCTATTTTCAAAGCTATTAAACATTAACTTTTAACAGCCATTAACATTACAGCTAGTGTTACCTCCCACACTGGTGGCTGAAATTTAACAGCTGACATAGAACTTAGTATCTTGGCATAAGTGTGAAAGCTATTTTCTATGTAATTACAGAATAAAAACTTTAGTGTAAAAGCTCATCTAAGGTAGCTAATCAAGCTCTGGTACATGTCAGTAAAGAGCTTAAATTTCAGTGCTTCCTGAAATAAATGGCAGATTTATTATAGTAGCACACATTTGGCATTGTGTGGGTCCTCTTTGACTTTAAAATGGACTATAAAACAGTCATATCTGCTTTTTCCAATCAGGAACCAGCCTCCTACTACAAGCTGAGTAGAAAGGTGAACACTCTTGAACAGGTAGACATTGTGATTCACCTTTCAAAAAATAGCCGGGGGTTCTCCCCATGGTGTTGTGGGTGAGAAGGAAGCAAAAGATGCTTTGGTGCTTGGATTTTCACTTTGAATCTTCAAATAATATTTGAGCTGTCACGGACATGTTTTCACTTCTGTATCAAAAGTCTACAAACACACAGTCCCAAACTATGAATTTTCTGGGTCAGTTCCTCATAATGAAAGGGGAATAGAATCAAGGCTAGTATCAGTGAGAACAAAATAAAATCATCATCCTATAGCTTAGATGACAAACTTTTTCATTTCTTAAATTTTTTATTTTATTTTTTCTCATCTGTCTTTCTCTCTCTCTTTCCTCTTTTAAATTTTTGCTTTGTTTTGTTTGTGACAGAGGCTTGCTCTGTTGCCCAGGCTGGAGTACAATGGTATGATCTCGGCTCACTGCAACCTCTGCCTCCCTGGTTCAAACGATTATCCTGCCTCAGCCTCCCAAGTAGCTGGGACTACAGACATGCACCACCACACCCAGCTAATTTTTGTAGTTTTAGTAGAGACTGGGTTTCACCATGTTGGCCAGGCTGGGTTTGAACTCCTGGTCTCAAGTGATCACCCACCTCGGCCTCCCAAAGTGCTAGGATTATGGGTCTGAGCCACTGCACCCAGCCTCCCTTTTGAATTGTTTTTATGTAAAGCCTAAATACCAAGACCTTAGATTCCTAATGTCTGGATTCAAACTCTGGTTGCACTGCTGTTTAGTCAATCACACATTTCCCTTATACCTGAGTTTTCCCATCTGGAAAGGGACCATAATAAATATACTGACTTCACAGAATTGTTGTGAGTTAATATATGCAAATAACTTAAAACAGTGTCTGGCACATATCACGTCACATAACTAATGCTATTAGTGTTATATAGCATTTTCAGTAAAGTTCCATTTGTGGCTTTCCCTTTATTTAGCACTGGAGAGTATAATAAGAATCAACTTACGAAAGAATTTCTAAGATGAAAGAATTTCTAGTCACTGAAATGCTGGTCATGATGGTAGTTTTGGAAGAAATATTATTTAGAAAGGGTGCTTTCTCCTAAAGTACAAATCCATTGCAAGCCTGAGCTGAAAAAAAAAAATTGCAGAAAAAGCATTTTCACAGCCAAGGAAGAAGTGACTTAGTAAATCACTAATCTCCTTCTCTTAGAACATTCTAGCTGTATAGGCATTACATTAAACCTGCCATCAGAATTTATCCGTTTAATGAGCGAGATCAAACGCCTTAATTTCCAGATCGCTTTTTGACAGGATATTTAATTGAACCATGTCCTACCATAGAGGTTTTAAACCGGTGTTCCTGCTCCCTTGTTGTACCGTAGTCTTCTTAAAGGTGAACTATCAATTTTTTATCAATTTAAAAAATACTGGAGATGATAACAAATTGTGCGTGTATGTGTATGTGTGTTATGGAAATATCAGGCGCAGAGCAGAGGAGGAGGGTATAATTTGCTGGTATTAAGAGTTGTTAGTGTGCTGAAAAACTAAGCCTGTTGCAAAACTTTTTTGGTTGTTTTTGTTTTGTTTTGTTTTTGAAGAGCATGCAAGAACATTTCCTTGTGAATATATAAGGGCAGTTAACAGTTCTGCTCAAATGCAGTATGGTGCTAAAAGGCCACAGGGTGAGTAGTAAGTAAATAGAGATGCTTTTAAAGACAATGTGAAACACTGTTTTACTGTGGTTGTTATCTCTTGGCAATTATGCTGACATGTTTTAGTGTTGCTTCGAGCTCTTTTTTAAATCCCATGAAGAAGGGGAAGTAATGCTCCAGTGTTCAAAGAACGCTGCCAACATAAAAGGGTCAAGAATCTTGGCTACAGCAGGAAACAAATGCACACATATGTGCACACACACACACTTATTAAACTTTGAGTCAGATTTGTCTTCCAGTTGTAAAACAACTGGCTTTGTGTCCTCAGGCATGGCACTAGATCTCTGTAAGCTGAGGCATGAAGATCAGTAAGATATACATGATACCTCCCAGATAGCAAGATCTTTCGAAATAACATAAATGAGACATTGCATGTGAAAGAGGTTTGTAGATAACACACAAATTTTAAAAGAAGAGGTTCCCAAAGATCTTAAAACAGAACTCTGCAGGAGTGGGATATAAAACAGATTGTTATGGGAGAATACATGGACACATAGAGAGGAACCACACAGAGTGGATGATGGGAGGAGGGAGAGAATCAAGAAAAACAACTAATGGGTAGTGGGCTTAATACCTGGGTGATGAAATAATCTATACAACAAGTTTACCTATGTTACAAACCTGTACTTGTACCCCTGAACTTATTATGAAGGTTTAAAAAAAAAAACATGTACAGACTATATGGCTTTAATGGTAAAGGGAAGGCATTAGGGCCTGCTCAGTTGTCATGTTCAAAGCAAACAGGTAGCAATCATGGAAGCCAAGTATTTGGGGTTTATGAGTCTCATTTTTATCAAAAGCTGACTGCCAATAGGTCCAGCCCATGAGCTATTGCAGAAGGTGTAAAAACTACAGGGAAATATCTGTACCCTGACTAAAGGACATGTCCTCTCTGGGGGGGTACACGAAACTGCATCAAATCAGATGATTGGCCAGTGTTCCATTTAAAATAGAATTTCCTAAACGTGAATAAACCAGAATAGGTAATGCATTTTTAAATGAACTTTGAGAACATTTATGGCATAGATCAATACCAGCTATTTTTTTTAATCAATGATTACTCTGTTCCTAAATGTATCCATTAGCGTGTATACAAATAGCCCTAAGGGAAAAAGTTATGTGTCCTTACTTCTGATTTCCTAATGAAAATGTTAGCACTTAACAAAAAAAATAATTTCTCCATACCTGAGAGAAAGAAATTTGAAACCCACAAAGAAAAAAATATAGCACTGATAAGGTTTTTATTTTTTTCAATCCCTTTCACTTCGTTATTCTAAACCACTCTCAATAGAGATTAAAAGGTTGAAAAACCTAAACTTGTGTCCCTTTTTGAGTGATGTCTTGTTAAGTGATCCTGATAACATAGTTTTTATGTCTCTAAAAAAATTATTTAAATTATTTCCGTTGAAATATTTTGGGGGTGATAAAAGAAAAAAAATTAAATTTAAAGGAGTTTAATTCAGCAATGAAGGATTTGTGAATCGGGCAGCCTCCTGAGCCAGAATAGGCTCTGAGACTCCACACAGCCATGTGGTAGATGATTTATGGAAAGTAGAAGGAAGGTGATGTACAGAAAATGGAAGTGAGGTACAGAAGCATCCGGATTTGTTATGGATTGATGTTTCTTATTTGAACACAGTTTGAACAGTTGGCTACATTTGACGGGCCAAAACTTGGTGATTGACACAAGTGTCGGCTACGGGTCTGGTCACACCTTCACTTGTTATAGTTCACGATGTACAGAGAAACATTTAGGCCCAACTTAAACATGTAAGGAGGCAGGTTTAGGCTAAACCTGATTTAACAATTCCCCCCCGTTTTGGTTATCTTCTCAATTTTGAGAGACTGACCAAAACTTTGGACATTGATGTTACTATCGCTGTCATTAATGTACTTATTTGGCCTTGAAATCCACTGGAAAATAGCAAAACAGTGGGTTTTGTAAGGTAGGAGTAAGGACTTCCGGTTATTTTTGTTGTTGTTTTTGAAAGGATTAAAGTAGAGGGTACTTCTTTATGCTGCAATGTCCTCTTTACGGGAGAGAAAAACAATACCTGGTCTGTTTTAGGATCTATTTGTTTCCTTGAAGTCTTAGTTTGAATATGCCACATTTAGCATGAGTGACTCCACTTTGGTTTGGTCTGGTCTGTTGCGACCTAGTGCATGAGCTCAGTCCAAAACAATGGTCTCCCATAATTTTGTTTAAAAATTCCCCACTTTTGGTCAGGCTCTCACTTAGGTGAGAGTGTGACCAAAATTTAAGGCCTTAACACCACTTTCACTTACCACCATTTTGGGTTTCGAGTCTCAGCATGTCATTCATAGGTTATGGTGTCCTCATGGTCACACATGTCTGTCAGCTCTTGTCATTCCAGTTGAAGAGATACCATTTGACATTCTAGAGATGGCTACATGCAAACATTTAAAACTTTTGAGAGAATACAGTGTACCAGGAAATCTATTATGACTATTAGGAGAATAATACCAAGAATTTGGTATATGCTTCTCACCCAGGGTCCCCATAAACCAAACCACCTAAAGTTAAGTAAAGAGTGAACTAGATAAGGGGCCACTCAATTAACTCAGCTGTCTTTTTGTTAATCTTCTGTACCTGAATATCTATAATCTACATTTGATATATTTCTCCATAGGCCACAAGTGCTGGCAGTTCCTCAGATACTTCTCTGTTTAGCCAGTTTATAATCTAGAGCAATTTTATTTCAAAGGAGAATTTAAAGTCTGTCGTGTAACCACAGCCTTTATAGTAGAGTCTGCAATAGAGCCTATTATGAGGGATACATTTCTAATCATTGCGTTTTTTTTTTTTTTTTTTTTTTTTTAATCCAAACCTTGAAAGAAAAGGACCTAACAAATGATGCCTTTCTAGAAGAGTGAAGGCCTCCTGGCAATGTTCTCTTTAACTCATGATGTGGGTTAGGAGGAGTGAACCAATGTTCTGTTTCTAACTATGTGACACTGTATATACCATTAAGGTTTCTCACCTACATTGCACCTTCATCTTTCATCTATCAAGATATAAGTTTATCTATGTATAAGGCTGGCTGCAAAATTATTCACAAATAAAGGTATACCCATATGTGCACAAAATAGACCCTCTTTTCACTTCTATTGTTCATAGAGGTATAAGCAAGGGAAAAATATTCAAAGATAAGAGTCTTATAATAGTAGAAATCTTGATCCATGATTTTGGGAAAAGCTGTTCATATCAAGAATATCTTCTTCTTCTGGGGAGAAAATTCCCTGGTTAGCTTCACCTTAAGGGTTCCAATGGGTGTGCAGTTCTATGAGTGTGGAGTAATCCTTCTCAGTTGTGAGATTATGAACCCAAAGTTCAAGGTCCCGAAGTTTTTGCTGGAGTGTACATGGCAAGAAAGTATCTCTGTTGTTCTCAGAGGATTCGGTCTTCAGGTTCTAGATTGAGAAGGGGTGGATTGTCCTCAGTCAGTAAACCATTAAAAGCTTTTTTTTACCAGATGAAAATACACAGAAATAGAAAATACAGTCCTAGAATTCCTATAACCACAAAAGACTCCAAATAGCCAAATCAATCTTCAGCAAAAAGAACAAAGCATGAGGCATCACACTACCTTATTTTTAAAATCTGCTACAAAGTTGTAGTAATCAAAATAGTATGGTACTGGCATGAAATTAGGCACATTGGCCAACGAAACAGAATAGATAGCCCAGAAATAAAATCATGCAAATATAGTCAAGTAGCTTTTTACAAAGGCATCAAGAATATACAATAGGGAAAGGATAAAATTTTTAATAAATGATTGTTGAGGAAACTAGAAATCCACATGCAAAAATAAAATAAAATTGGATGCTTCACTTACACTGTACACAAATATCAACCCAAAATGGATTAAAGAATTAAACATAAGGCCTGAAACCTTAAAACTCCTAGAAGAAAACATAGGAGAAAATCTCCTTGACATTGTCTTTGGCAATATTTTGAATACCAAAGTAAAATATCAGACAACACAAACAAAAATAAACAAGTGGGAAAACATCAAACTAAAAAGTTTCTGCATAGCAAAAGTAGCAATTAACAAAATGAAAAAGTTACCTACAGAACAAAAGAAAACATTTGTAAGTCATGATTTCAATAAGGAGTTAATAAGGAACTTACACAACTCAATAGCAAGAAAACAAACTGATTATAAATGGACAAAGGACCTAAATAGACCTTTCTCAAAAGAAGACATACAGGCCGGGAGTGATGATGGCTCATGCCTGTAATCCCAGCACTTTGGGAGGCTGAGGCAGGCAGATCACTTGAGGCCAGGAATTTGACACCAGCCTTGCCAACATGGTAAAACCCCATCTCTACTAAAAATACAAAATTTAGCCAGGTATGGTGGTGCACGCCTGTAATCCCAGCTACTTGGAAGGCTGAGACAGGAGAACCTCTACCATGAGGAAGAGGTTGCAGTTAGCTGAGATCATGCTACTGCACTCTAGCCTGGGTGGCAACATGAGATTTTGTCTCAGGAAAAAGAAAAAAAAAAAGACATACAAATGGCCAGCAGGTATATGTAAAGATGCTCAATATCATTAATCATCATAAGAATGCAAATGCAGAAATACACAATGAGCTATCACCTCACACTTATTAGGCAGTCTATCATCAAAAAGATAAAAGATCCATGTTGGTAAGGATATGGAAAAAAGGAAACATTTGTATTAATATACTGTTGGTGGGAATGTAAATTGGTATAGCCATTATTTAAAAAAGTATACTAATTATCAGGGTAATGCAAATCGAAACTACAATGTGATACCATGTTACTACTGCAAGAGTGGCCATAATAAAAAATAATAGATGTTGGCATGGATGTGGTGAAAAGGGAACACTTTTACATTGCTGGTGGGGATGTAAACTAGTACGACCACTCTGGAAAACAGTGTGGAGATTCCTTAAAGAACTAATGGTAGACTTAACATTTGATCCAGCCATTCCATTACTAGGTGGAAAAGAAGTCATTATACAAAAAGGTACTTGCACATGTATTTTATAGCTGCACAACTTGCAATTGCAAAAATATGGAACCAGCCCAAATGCCCATCAATGAGTAAAGAAAATGCCACACACACACACACACCATGGAATACTACTCACCCATGAAAAGGAATAAAATTATGACATTCACAGCAACCTGGACTGAATTGGAGACCATTATTCTAAATGAAGTAACTCAGGAATGTAAAACCAAACATCCTATGTTCTCACTCATAAGTGGGAGCTAAGCTATAAGGACACAAAGGCATAAGAATGATACAATGGACTTTGGGGACTCGGGGGAAACAGTGGGAAGGGATATGAGGGCTAAAAGACTATACACTGGGTACAGCATACACTGCTCAGGTGATGGGTGCACCAAAGTCTCAGAAATCACCACTGAAAAACTTATCCATGTAACTGTTATAGGTAGTCAGGCATGAGCAGGGCAAAAGGGGGCTCACCACCCCACCACCTACCAGGAATGTCAGGCGATTGGGTGATAGTTTCACAATCATCACATTGCCTCTCTATAAGTGATAATTCTGGCAGCCAGTGCCAGGAAGAGAAAAAAAAAACTATTTTGTTCCCCAAAAACCTATTGAAATTAAAAATAAAAATTAAAAAAAATACCAGTATGGAAGTTTTTCAAAAATTGAAATAGAAGTACCATATGATCCAGCAATCTCACTTCTGGGTATACATTCCAAAAAAATTAAAGTCAGGATGTAGAGGAAATATCAGCACTCCCATGTTTATTACAACATTATTCACAATGGCCAAGATAGGAGAACAATCTAAGTGCTTATCTGTCGACAGATGGATGGATAAAGAAAATGTGCTTTGCATATACTTTAAAAATTTTTAAATAGATTTTTAAAAAAGAAATATGGAATGCTTCACGAATTAGAGTGTCATTCTTGCTCAGGAGCCATGCTAATCTTCTCTGTATTGTTCCAATTTTATTGTATGTGCTGCTGAAGCAAGCACTACATATGTGTGTGTGCATGTGTGTGTATACACATACAATGAAAGTACATAATTATTCAGCCTTAAAAAGAAGTTTCACTATTTGCAAACTTAGCATGAACCTTGAAGACGTTATGCTAAGTGAAAATATGCCAGAAACAGGAAGACAAATACTGCAAGATCTCACTTTTATGCAGAATCTAAAAACCAAAAAGCTAAGCTCAGAGTAACAGAGAGTAGAGTGATAGTTACCAGGGGCTAGGCTTGAGGAAAAGGGAAGATATTGGTAAAATATTGCAATCCTTTAATTATAAGACGAATAAGTACTAGAGACTTAATGAACAGCATGGTGATTGTAGTTAATAATAACGTATTGGGTATGTGAAATTTGCTGAGAGTGGGCCTCAAGTGTTGTCACTAACCACACACAGACACACACAAAATGAATGTTGTATCAGGATTAATTGAGGTTCTTTAAGAATGACTCTTCCTTTACTCAGGGACAAGTATTTTCCAGCACATTGTCCAACAATCTGTTCATCTTAAACAAAACAAAAGCCAAAAATCTTCAATAATCTATTCAAACAAATTTAAGCAAAACGAGAAGAACTAAGGATTTCACAGTTACTATATAAAATTATTAATAATCTGTCAATATGTTGAGGCATTGCTGCTGTATTAGTCTTTTCTCATGCTGCAAATAAAGACATACCTGAGACTGGGTAATTTATAAAGGGAAGAGATTTAATTGACTCACAATTCATCACGGATGGGGAGGCCTCAGGGAACTTACAATCATGGTGGAAGGGAAAGTAAACACGTTCTTCTTCACATGGTGGCAGCAAGGAGAAGTGCAAAGCAAAGAGGGAAAAGCCCCTTATAAAACCATCAGATCTTGTAAGAACTCACTCACTATCACGAGAACAGCATGAGGGTAACCACCCCCATGATTCAATTACCTCCCACCAGGTCCCTCCTAGGATATGTGGGGATTACGGAAACTACAAGTTAGGATGAGATTTGGGTGAGGACACAGTCAAACCAAATCAGCTGCCAAATATGGTTTACACTGGACACAATTTAACAGAATGACTGAAGGTTGACTCATTGCCCACTCAAAAAGTAACATTTAAGAATTATAAATTGAGTAAGCATCTCCCATTATATTAACAAATACAAAATGTAGAGGAGTTGCGGAATGAAGAAGGATGAGCTGTTGTTTTGTTTTGATTTGTTTTAATTGTTTGGGTGTTTGGTGTAATAGTTGTTTGCTGTATAACAAATTAGCACAAATCTCAATGACTTTAAACTATAAAAAATTACTCAACCACTGTTAGCTTCCAGAGTCATCTCTACATTTTCTAGAAAAAAAAAATCTTGATGCTAGAGATTTTCCTTATTGGATTTCTGACTTACTTGCAAAATATCTCCCAAAACAAAACCTGGCCGAGTGGGAAAAGTAGACTGAGTAACCCAGTTTCTCCAGTCCAAGGTTGGAGATCTTGGCTCCTGCAGAAGCAAACTAGGAGACTGTGGGAGGGGAGTAAATCTGACAGATGGACTGATCAGTGAATCTGGTGGATTTACACAAGGAACATCTCTTATGGTTTCAGAAGCCCTTGTCCCTGCTGAGATTACTCTAGCCTTCAGGACCTGCATTCTGATCTTTAATGGTAGTGTGATGCTGTACTTTTCCAAACTTTTCTTTCATCTGGATAGGAGGGAGCTGTGTGAAATCAGGAATTCTCACTTAAAATCTCTGCCTGGAGGTGGAGTTTTTCCTCGTGTCTTTTCAGGCATGGTAGATATCTCTGCCTAAGCCCGTATTATTCTTCTAAAGTCAGCTCAAAGCCTTGCATGTGCCCCTGAGCTGCAGGATCCTGAGTCTACAATATCAGCCCCAATTTCATCTGGGCCTGGACTTAGCACAGGGGCTGGTACTGATACGTCTATTTGTAATGGACCTTCCTGCCTCTTGCCTTTGTTCTGAGGACAAAGCCATTGAAAACACCTCCTTATCTTTGCTTCCCTTTTTCCTTTTGAAAAGGAACCTGTGTGTACTGTGGCAGGACTAGCAGGGTCTTGCTTCCAGTTGTCTCAGGCCATTCACTGAACTAGGTAGAGTGGCCCTTCCCTCTGATTTGGCTATTCTACAGTCCTTTCTGTCCACAGATATGCTTTCCTACCTTGAGATACCTAGCATCCTCTTTCTCAGCTATTAAAACTACAAGCCTTTTCTAGCTTTTCCTTGTAGCCTGAAGCTTAGGATGCTCCTACTGGCACAGCCTACTCTTTCTGGCTTTCCTATCAGCACCCCACACCTGGGAAGCTTCCACGGCCCAAGTAAACTCACCCTGGGGATAAGATTCAGAGACTAACAGCCAAGCATTTTGAGGCTAGAAGCAACGTAATGGGTAGGCCTGCAGCTGGGGCTTGAGCTGGGGCTCTGTAGCCAGATGAAGAATTATGCCATCAAGAGGCTGTTTTTTAAAGCATGAGTGTCCTGTATCTTGCTCAATCAGCATGTGAGTGGTGTGTGGCACTGCATTCTCTGCTCAGTGAAGTCCCTAGACCACACACAAGACCTTATTGTGATTTTCCAGATAACTAAGTATTAAGGAGAAGTTGAGTGTTTGTCCTTAAATTTTTCCAAGGATACTTTGACTATAGTAGGAACGCCTAAAGCCATTTCTATCAACTCCTTGATAGGCAAGCTGCACTTGAAGATGTCTCCCTTCTTTGATGAGGCTGAACTAGGCAAGCCAAAGCACTCAGTGAGATGGTTGACAGAGGAGGCCAGCCAGGAGAGGTTATTTTTAGTGGACCTCAGTGGAACTGAAATAGATTACAGTGAAATCGATAAATGGATATATAACAACTATAAATAAATGCCTACTTATTTGTAAAAGGATAATATAATTTCTACTGTTTTAATCTTTGAATAATGCAAAAATATTTTTAATGGTTTGCTGGAAGGGATTATCTACTGATTTTTGGTCATCAGTCCTTTTTTCAACAGGGCACAGTATCTTCTTCATCTCACAGTCTATCTATGTGGGTGTGGCAGAAGGATCCAGAGTAAAATCTCAAACACAGTGATCTACTGGTTAGGGATGATAATATTTAGGAAATTCAGTACGCCTATAGGATAAGAAAGTGCGTCCACAATTTGTTCACTGATCCCTTTCTTGTATGAGGTGGCTCTGGGCCATGTTCTTTCTGTTAGGGCTGATAATGGAGAACAATGACGGATCTTTGGAAGGCTCTGATTGAATGTTACAGTTCAAGGTTTGACCTCAAGCAGCAGCATCCTATTAGATGGAGCATACTGCTACCTGCAGGAATAAGATGACAGTAGCACCTCCCTATTCCCTCACTGTGACAACCAACAGAGTCTCAAGACATTGTCAAATATTTTCTGGGGAGCAAAATCACACTGTTTTGGCAGTAGATTAGAAGTTACCAGGAGATGGTGGAGGAAAGGATTGAGGAATTATTGCTTAATGTGTGCAGAGTTTCTTTTTGGGGCGATAAAAATCTTTAGAAATAGATGGTGGTGATGGTTGTACAACATTCTGAATATAATTAATGCCACTGAAAAATTGTGAAAATGGGAAATTTTATGCTACATGTATATTTATGACAAAAATATAAGGGCAAATATGTTTGTGGCTGAAATGTAAAAATATTGAAGTGTTTCAGAACCACTCAGATACAGACACCTGCTTCCCTATAGTTTGTCTAGAAGATCTAATTTGTATTAAACAAAAATTGTTGCTTTTCTAAAAATACCTTAGGAGTGACAATGAGAGTGAGTAGTGAATAGTGTATCTCCACACAAACGTTTTACAGATCATATCTTTGTGATTGTTTTCTCTTGACTTGTTTAGCACTGCTGTATCTCTGAGGGCTATTATCTGCCCTCCTCCCATACAGAACCTCACCCCCCTGGCTCCCCACCTCCTCTCCCTCCCAGATCCCTGTCCTTATTCAATGGTTTAGACTTTTCTCACTTTATCATACAAAGCAATTTGGCTTTCCCCATTTCCCATCATCTTGATGTGCACGCAATTCCATTATTGGGAGGTGAAAATATCCTCTGTTCAACATAATTGAACCTGTTTGGGCAGCATTTGGAGTTATATATCACAAAACAAAAATACAAACAAAAACACACAAAACACCCAATGAAACTGGAGAAAACAAAACCAATAACAAAAACAAAAAAAAATTTCTTTCAGTCACTCCAAAGTTATTTCCATTAACGAAGAGTATCCTGATTTTCTTCATCTATTTTTGAACTTGTTATTAAAATTCTATTGGCCTCTCATCAATTTTAAAAACAGGAAGATTATATTGTTGATAGTATATATTTATACACACATACATACACATATATTTGTGTGTATTATATCACCATATTAGGTAGGCATACAACAGTTATTCTAGTAGGTTCTTTATAAAGAATATAAAATGTTGAAATTAAGCATTCTATCTTTTTTTTATTTTCACCCATTCTAGTGCTCATTCTAACGGATTAGCCTTGGCTCATGAGATCTAATTCTCTCCTATGCAAATGGTGAACCTTTATCAAACTGACACCTCCTTTCTTTTCTTGCTTTCTCCTGCATCAAGAGCTTCTTCATCATCTTCCTTCCCTACAGAATTTACATGTCAAGCCACATCCTTCTTTTTGTTCTCCTTTGACTTTCGCAGAATTATCTGTTTTAGAAATCCATCCACAAACCTGATCATCTCTGGTGCTTCAATATAACAATTCAGAGCACCAGTGATTAAAAACACTTATTTATTTAAAGTGCCAGGGCAGCAAACACACTTATAAAATCTAAGGTACTCAAAACAATAGTTACAAAATTAGAATGAAAATACAGAACATAGTTTTAATCAAAATTAAACCTTTAACATGATTGTTGAAAATGGAGCTTATTGTGAAAGCCTATTCCTTACCATCCATAGTAAGAGGTCAAGTTTAATTTATACAATTAATAAATCATGAAATAATGATACAAATAGTATTTTAAGGTGTGGAGGTTAATAATGAATGGAAAAGCTTAAAGTTTAAAGAGTTTGGATACCTCTGAGAAGCATGACTTGAGAAATAAGTGGTGATGAGACACTGTTTTTAATGCTTTACTTTTTATTTTTATCAGTTTAATAGAAATATTTGATTCTTAAGCTGTTCATATATTATTCTGAAAATCTGAAAATTAAATTTAAAAGTAATGTGGGCTTCATCAGTGTTTAATGGAGATTTCATTTTAAAATTTTTTAAAAATAATTTAAGTTTGACTACTACATAATTTTTAAAAATTCTACTGACTATTCAAATCCAATTTACAAAGGGTAGATATTCTGATATGATCCCCTACCGTAAAACATGCAAATATTATTTTAGTTAGAAGGAATGCATTTTTAAAACTATTATTGAGCTCTCACGAAAATAAAGCAAGTCTTCAATGAACAACAGCAACCACCACAACAAAAATCTTCAGCAAACCTAAAGGAAAACAAAAACGGTACTATAAACCTAACAACTTGAACGAGAATGCAAAAGGGCACACCAAAGCCAGAGCTGCTCTGGAAGTGTTCTGAATCCTTAATCCTAGCAGTTCCCTGGACATCAATCCCACTACGGAGTGGGATTTCAACTTAGCAAATTGGAGAAACTAATGTGAGACCTCTCCACATTAAGTCAGGAATCAAAAATAACTTTATCTTGCAATAGAGACAGAAGAATTTATTGACACCAGCCAACCATTAGGCAAGAAAAACTACATAATTAATCCATTTACTGATTTAAGCAAATGTTAATACTCAGCCCCACAGATGCCTAAAGAAAATGCTTGCTAGTTCAGTGTAGGTATAAATAAGGAAGACAAATATGATAGCATCAGTAGTTTGTTTATACAGGTTGTACATCTTTGAAGAAATATAGCATCATTTACATGATAAATGAGAAAGTATACTGACTTATCTTTAAGGCGATCCTAATTCTCACAGTGTACAATTTATTTTTGTTTTACTGAGGGTACGATGTGTCCTATTAATACCAATAAATTCCCTTGAAATGAGAGAGAGAGGTTGATTTGGTTTTTGGTGATTTTATGTGCCTTTCCCCTGTAGAAAGAGACCATTGGGGATTAGAATAAGCACCACTTTATTACATTTCTATCTCCTTTGTATCCTTAGATTCAGTAACTATGATCTCCTTTTCTATTTCCGTTGTATCACTATAACCTTATATTTTGAAGAATATTTTGTTTAAATAGAATTCCTCCTTACTCAATGTATAACACACTTTGTTTTTCTTTCACCAAAGTCACTTTCAAACCTGTAAAACTTGATTGGAATTCCATGTATTTCAAGTGAACTTTTCCCTACAATTCATTTTTATTTACTTTTTTATTAATTTTAGTCTTATAGACTTGCTTGTGAGAAATAAAAGGAAAATTCATTTATAGCTATTAAATGACAGAACATGTTCATATGTTATGTAGACTTCATGATAAACTTATTGGATAAAAGATATTATCCTCATTAAAATTAGAAAATTCATGTTTGCTTGTATAGCGCAATACTTATCTAAGAAATAATTATTGTTATTATACTGAACTACAATGTTACACCCTTCCATATAGCTACACTCTTGGCTAAGATTTATTACAGCGATGTGCTATAGTAAAGATATACAGCTGAATCATAAGAGAAAAAGACATGTGGAAGAGTCCATTTAAAGGTCTCATGTTTTCTTCCTCCCATGAGCAGTCACAGACAGCACACACTTCAATCAGCAATAAAAATGCAGCAACAGCTGTGGGAATTTTCTGCCCAAGGAAGCCCATTAGAGACTCGGTGACCAAGGCTTTTATTGGGGTCTGCTTATGTAGGTATTACCTGCCTAGCATGTATCAAAGTTCTAGACTCCCAGAAAGAAAGCATGTTTTTACCATCAACCACATTGTACAAATAGTTTAGGCACAGCAAGCCACTCTTATTAGTTAGGGTAAGTTTTATATCAATGTATGAAACTGTTTACCAGCCAAGTTTCCAGATGCCAGCCAAGGGTTAACCTTGCAAGCTGGCATTTCTAAACATAGCAGTCTTAGGTTTGCTTTATTAACTTTTCTGCATAGACTTCAGTTTCTATCTAGATCTTTTTGGCCAAGAATCCTTACGATTCTCTGGCATATGTGCTTAACATGTACAGTATGGTATTGTGACATTACACACATGGCTTCCAATCCTACCACTTTGACTAGCTATATAGTATATAACAATCTCCCATTGGCACCTGAGAACGGTTAAAAAAAGCAGAGAACTGTTAGTATCAGAAAGTAATAATGTAAAAACACCATCAACCTAAATTTTTTTTTTTTTTTTTTTTTTTTTTTTTTAGTTTGAGACAGTCTCACTCTGTCACTTGGCTGGAGTGCAGTGGCGTGATCTCGGCTCATGGCAACCTCTGCCTCCCGGTTTCAAGTGATTCTCCTGCCTCAGCCTCCCGAGTAGCTGGGACTACGGGCGTGCGCCACCACGCCCAGCTGATTTTTCTATTTGTAGTAGAGACGGGGTTTCACCATGTTGGCCCGGATAGTCTCAATGTCTTGACCTCGCGAACTGCCTGCCTCTGCCTACCAAAGTGCTGGGATTACAGGCGTGAGCCACCGCGCCTGGCCCAACCCAAAATCTTAAGCTTAGTTAAACTTTTTTTTTTTTTTTTCCCTGAGATGGAGTCTCTCTCTGTCGCCCAGGCTGGAGTGCAGTGGCACCATCTTGGCTCACTGCAAGCTCTGCCTCCCGGGTTCACGCCATTCTCCTGCCTCAGCCTCCGGAGTAGCTGGGACTACACGCGCCAGCCACCATGCTTGACTAATTTTTTTGTTATTTTTTAGTAGAGACGGGGTTTCACCATGTTAGCCAGGATGGTCTCCATCTCCTGACCTCGTGATCCGCCCGCCTCGGCCCCCCAAAGTGCTGGGATTACAGGCGTGAGCCACCGCACCCAGCCTAAACTTCTGAAATGAGTATAGGTGAAATAAGATTTTTCAGACTTAAGTAGTTTACAACACTACAGGTGAATTTAGGAACATGAATCAAGAAAAGGAGTGATATGAAAAAGAATAAACATAAAAACAACTGGGTAGAGTTATTTGCAAACATGGTCATTCTGAATAAATGCTAAGCATAAGGTAAATTAAAATAATGACAAAACTTCAAATGAGTAAAATACTTTACAAAATTAATGTAGAAACTGAAAAATGATTAAAACACTCTAGAGCCATTTCATTTTCAGATATAAAAATCAAGAAATTGATTTTCTTCTTTGTAGTTATTTAATTAAAAAAAGACTTTATAGTGTTCACTACATTAATAAAAATAAATGCATTGTTTCCAAACCAGAAGCACAAAATGGAGAATGAGGAAGGTTTCACTAAATCAAAAGATATATAACAAATTGAGAATGTTCCAAAAAAAGAGAGATAAGCCCTGAAACAAGGTAAATATTAAATTTAAAACATTGTAATATATGAATAAAACATTCAAAGCAAGTGTCACAAATTAAGTTTAATAGAAAAACATAAAACATAATTATAATGTATAATAATAATAATAATATCAGTATATTGAATGAGGTAGACCTCTACCAGTTGCTTTTGGATGCAAACTTAACTAACAATAAAATAATATTGATAATAATAATTATTTTTATTGGCTCACAGAACTGCTCTATTCAGAAGGTAACACTAATTAAGACACTAAAAGAAAGTAACTAAGGTCCACGGTCTTTAGCCTCAGTCTTTCCTTTCTACATATTTTTGCTTCTCTTTGCATGTTGACCTCATTGTGTCCTAATGAAAATTGCTTTATTCATTTAACCATGAAATACAGCAGTTACACCTTATGTTATTCATAAACTTTGTGGAAAAAATGTTTATTTCTCATCCAAAAGCCATGTGCTCCCCAACATCCTCAGCCCTCTAGTAGCAGTGGGGCCATATGACTATTTCTGGCCAATGGACTGTGAGGAGAAATAATAATTCCAGTTTAAAGCAGGGAGAATTCAGTACACATCCCTCTAGCCTTCATTTTCCTTGTTGTGGGAAGCATGGTAGCTTCCTGTTGATGAAGGAAAGCTCCATAGATTGCTGAGTGATCACATAAAAAAATATTCTCTAGAGAATATCTCACTTTTTTGAACCTGTAACTTGGGCAAAAAGTAAAATTTTGTCATGTTACATCTATAATGTTTTGTGTGTGCTTATTGATTGCCAATGTACAATCTAAACTTATCTCTCTAAATGAACTGTCTTTCCTGATGGTTCTAGTTAACAAGGCACAATGAAGACACACACTATTTTAGCTTGAATAATGTGTTAACCTAGAAGAAATCATTGTAGCGAGAGAGATTTGGTATTCCGATAGGCCAGATATTTGATATGTGCCCACTCTTGGGAAGATAGAGGTGATCTCTTAATAAAGCCTGAAATGCGGTCCTCCGAGGAGAGAAAGGTCTTGTTATTAGACGGAAAATTAGTAATGGTTGATAATAATAGTAAATGACTACTTTATGTCCCCTAAAATGTTTTCCTCACTGTTATGGGATGAATTGTATTCCCCCAAAATTCATATTAAATCTCTAAGCCCCAGTACCTCAGAATGTGACTATATTTGGAAATAGGGTGTATAAAGTGTAATTAAGTTAAAACGAGGCTGATTAGAGTGGGCCCTAATCCAATCTAAGGACAGCTGTCCTTATAAGAAAAGAAAATTTGAATACACAAAGACATGCAGGGGTTTTCTTACACAGATGAAAAGTCATGTGAAGACACAGTGAAAAGGCAGCCACCTGCAAGCAAAGAAAAGAGAATTAAGGAGAAACCAAACCCAGTGACACCTTGATCTTGGATTTTCAGCCTCCAGAACTGTGAGAAAATAAAATTATTTAAGCCATGATATTTAATTATGGCAGCCCTAAGAAACTAATACACTAATACATAAAAATACCAAAATCTCTATTAGTTATCAAAATACTGCCCAAAACACTGCCTTCTTCAAAGTAGGCAACTCACATATCATCCACTTACTGCAGCACTTCCAAGTTAAGGAACTCTATTTGATGGATATTTCTCCTAATCAGTTTCAAGGGCTGTCCCTTAGAATGCAATAGCTTATAGCTGAATGTTAAAATTTACAGGGAAATTCTAGGAATCAGGAATCAGTATTAAGAAATACCATAGCTTTGAAAAGCAGAAAGCAAAATACCGTTAGCACACATAAATAAATAGGCCTACATGCAATAGCTATGGGAATCTTTCCCACATTTCCTTCTTTGAAGGGTCAAATAGGCAAAAGAAACACTGCTGGAGAATGTTTAGAATGTTAAGACATATATATTAAATTATGAACATTTCCAATACGATGTATTCCAGAAATTGATCACACATTAAAATAGAGCTTGCTAACTAATACTTAGGAGTTACAGATGTGTTCAAATATTGATTCCCTGAGCTCTCTAGGCAGGTAGGTGAACAGTCGCATCTCTGTTCATCTTGGTGTAGCATATAATCATTGCAATTTACTCTTATGCCACAATGTAAAAATTGTTGGGAAGCAATACATAGACAACCTCAATAAATTTCAAAACAGTAATTGTTCAGGCTGTATTGTCTAACTGTAGTATTATAGAAATTAAAATGGCCATATTTTTTCAATCCTGAATTCTACAAATTTTTGTATTTTAGATTTTCTAAATTAAGGTGAGTCTTAAACTTGTAGCTGCCACACAAGTACAAGTCATGAGATAATGATCAATTCCTGTACATCTGTGAACTATACATGGTTTTAAAATAACTCTTAACATAGTCATCTATTCAATTTAAATATCTCTAATAGTAATATATTAATAAAAATGCTAAAATGTAACTCTATCTCTGTTTCAGCTATGCCTCCAAGAAAAATGTACCAGCTTCTCTCAGAATTTCAAAGGGAAGTTGATGGTCAATAAAGCAGGACATGATCGTGTAGGTTCTGAACACTAATTTGGAGATCTTAACTAACCACAGATATCTAGCTTATGAAGTAGATGGAGAAGGTGAGATGGAAATTTTAAAGGACTTTCAGAGTGCATAGAATTCCCATGGTCTAAGATGAGGAATGCTTTTCTTCTACCTTAGGAGGGGAAAATTGATGTTAAAAAATCACACTCAGAATTTCACATGTTTACCCTGGAGCTTCGGATAGAGGTAACATCTTAAGGAATTGATTTCTCATTTGAGTCTGAGAAAGAATAGTCCTGGAATTGACTTAGATGGTGCCCATTATAATTTCTTGGAGGGATGAAGCTGCCATCAGCAGAAAGAAGCTAGAGGTGAACTGCCAATGCATAGATGGCAAGAAAACTGCTTGAGCTACCAATTGGAGGAGATACATTTACTTCATAGTGAGAGGAAGAGAAGGAGGTTGATAACGAAACCATCAGCCAAAATAGAGTAAACTTTCAACATCTGCCAAACCCGAAGAAGTCAATGCTTGAACACCCCAACAAAACCATGAGGTAAGATCCTACCCACTGATACAGCCTCCTCTTTTCCAGTTTTAACCTTACGAGAGAAACCAAGATACTAGAGACGGGGGAATTTGAACACTATATATTTTCAGTCCAAGAGACTTGTTTTAAGTAGATCTAAGGAAGGGGAGAAGAGAAACATGGAATGAATTTTAAATGTAGACTATGACATTAGAATGCTTATTTTTCTTAACAGAAGTGGTTTTTATTGCCTAAAAGGAGGTAAAAAAAGACATACATGAGACTTGCTCTACATTTCACATAAAAGGAAGAATAGAAATAAATAGCTTCCAGAAAATTATTTGAATAGGTGAAAGGAGAGGCATAAGAATAAAGTTGATTGTACTTTTTAGAGTATTTGCTTGTACTTTTTAAGTCTGACTTTTCCAATGCAGTTGTATTTGTGATAGTAAACTAACAATACATGATGTGAATTTAAACCCAAAGTTGGACAACGAATTTTTACTTTAAAATGCCTTTTGAAATATTCTAGTAATACAGCATTGAAATTAAAATAAAGTATCTTTTTTATAAAAAAGGTTGCCTGTTAAATGCCATGATTTAAGGAAGTCTTATGTGATAATGTACATAACTTTGATGGCCAAAGGATTCAAAAGATTCTTTAATCAGAGAATATAAAGAAAAATTACATTCAAACTGGAGTATGAATCACATTTAATTATTTCCCTCCAAAACAACCATTATTAAATTGATGGTTTATCTTAAAATTATTGACATTTGAGAATTTAGAAAACATTGATAAAAGTTGTAAAAAAAATAACAAAAGTATACCACTTGCAAATTACTTTCTCATTAGACAGCAGATCAAAAGTACCCATACAGATTATTAGAAAGCAGTAATAATGAATGACAATAATTAATATCAAATCAGAAAGGTTGTAGCTATAGGTGGCACTATAACAAAGAAAAGCAATAACTTAATTTCAGCATACCATTTAAGAAATAAAGAAGGGGACAATAAAACAAGCAAAAACTACTTTGGAGGAACACTCAATAAAGATAAAGGCAGAAATTGATTTAAAAAAGAACAGTCAATTAGATAAAATTAGCTAAAATCTATATCTTTGAGACAAGCAATAGAATAAGCAAGCGTCTAACCTGTTTAATCTACCAAAGATAATAATAAGAAACAAACACAAAATCTCAGAACTTAGTGAGAGTGGTGGTATAACTAGAGATTTGCTAGCTACTTAAAAGCAACATAATATAAACAATTTCATGTGAATCAACATTAACATATTTAACTACTTTTTTAGGAAAAGAAATTGATTACCAAACCAGACTCATAAGTTAAAAAACAAAACTGATAATGAAAGACCATGAGATACATAAGGAAAAAAGGTAAAGCTTTATTTTCTATTATTTTAAAAATCTGCAGATTGGAGAGGGACAGCCTTCAGAGGCACAGAAAGTGTACTCTCTGGAGAACAAAGGGAAGGTTTGGCTTAAATAGGTAGTCCTCAATCAGGCAGTTTATGCAAATAAAGAATTCAACCTTATGTCATTTTGATTGGTAGAAATAGTCCTTGATTGCGTGGTTTCCAACTGAAAAACTAGAAATCTCTGACAAATGTTCTTTGTTAGATGTTTCTTTTCCTTCTGTCAGCTGATTGAGGGGAGAGGGGTTCCAGGTGCAGTACAGTTTGTCTTAGCACTGACAACAGAAATGGCTTGGCTAGATTGTAGAAACAGAGGTCCTGTTACACTTTTATTACATCTTTCCGGGAACACAAGAGGATATGACTACTCCTTTACCCGGCTATGGCAACCAGGTTCTGTTTTAACTTTGAGCATTTCAGTAGCCATGGGGAGTCCATTTTGTCCACTGGCCAAGGTAAATTTTCCTCCTTTTTAGTGGAAACCTGTCATAGGCAGTGTTGATGATCAACTTATGTTTTTGTTCCATACTGTTGCCAGAATGATGTGGCTAACTGCACTGGGTCCACCTATTCCCTTGGTGGGACTCATGTGGCTGAGAGATATGTGGTCAGTTTGAACAACTTGGTCAAGTGTAAGGTGAGAAGATGGGCAGGCACCTGCTAGATTTAATTCAGTGTATCTTACTGCTATTCAGTGGCATCTGGTAAGTCTATGGATAAGACCTGGAAGTATGCAGTCAAATTGATGTTGGCAAACTAGTAAAACATTTATTCAAGCAAATAAAACAATTTTAAAGAGGAGCTAGGTGCTTAGGCTTAGTATGAAAAGGATTTAAGAAAATAAATGTGGTTGAGAAAAATTTAAAGTAGCCATGGTTAAAGATGCAATTAGCAAAAACATTTGGTTATTTCTGTGGCATATGACATTAATATAATAACTATGATTATGGCAAATAATATATATCAAGATAAATATGAATTTAGATATAGCATACAATTTTGGAACTCACATTAACAATACATTTAGGGCCGGGCACAGTGGCTCACCCCTGTAATCCCAGCGCTTTGGGAGGCCAAGGCTGGCGGGACACGAGGTCCAGAGATTGAGACCATTCCTGGCCAACATGGTGAAACCCCGCCTCTACTAAAAATACAAAAATCAGCTGGGTATGGTGGTGGGTGCCTGTACTCCCAGCTAATTGGGAGGCTGAGGCAGGAGAATCGCTTGAACCCGGGAGGTGGAGGTTGCGGTGAGCCGAGATCGCAATACTGTACTCCATCCAGGCGACAGAGCAAGATTCTGTCTTTGAATATAACTTGAAGAAAGGTACATATCTTTTTTGCTATTTGACAGCGTTTCCTGTATGATTTAAACACAATGAATAAGCTTAGTATGTCTCTCCTGGATTTTGGGGTATTTCTGTTATGACTAAGTTAATGTCCAAAAGACTTGATTTTGGAATTTGAAATTTAATTTTGGGAAGCTTGTCAAACATCAAAAGTTTAAAGTAAAGTATTGGTTGGCAATAGGATCACAGATCACTATGAAATAAAACCAAAGTTACAAAAGATTTTAAAGGTATAAAGCACAAGAAATTATGATGAAGCACAAAATGGAATCTGTTTTAGAGGCCAGTTACCTCAAAGGTAAAGAAAAACTTTTCACAATTTTCTATTAGAGGGCAAATTAATGCTTCAAGAAAACCCTTTTGTTTCAACACAGGGGCACACACTCTAGCCCTGCATCAATGTGCTTTTGATATTAATGTTCAGTTTTTAGGAAAACTTGTAATTTTATAATTTTCTTTCCATTTTAGCCAACTTGACCACACACAAAATTCATTTCATTAATTTTTCACACACCTTCTACAACTTACTCAAACCTTTAGTTTTGTCTTATTTTTGTCTTATACTTCTGAGTTTTTGTGTGTGTGGCATTCTACCTTAGGACAAAAATGTACTCTACTTTCCCCTCATCATTTTGACCATACAAAGTTCTCCCTCATGTAAAAGAAAAAATATTACTCTTTTTAACTTGGTTTACCAAAAATGGCTCCTACTTTCCTTCATATGTTCTGTAAAGTGAACTGTTTCTCTAGTATCTAGTAGTTTTAGTTACTTATATGAACTGCAATTTTAACTCTTAGCTACACTTATTTCCAGTAAAAAGCTTAGAAAGTAAGTAATTTTGAATTGTTTTTTAACCAGTATTTGTAGGTTAAAACCATTTCATGAATTTTAGTTTCAACGTTTTATTAACAAACAGTTCTAAATATATTTAGCTTTTCTATACCATATAAAAATAAGATGTCAAAATATATAAACTTCATTCATCTTATCTTTAATAATTAGTGTTCCAATATTTAAACTTACTTAAAAATGACTCTGACATTTCATGAGTATCTATTAGTTAATTTGACATAACACACTTTACGATTTTAAATTACTAAAAATACTTTTGTAACTATGACATGGGTAACTTTTCTAATTCCATTTCCAATTGTCCTGGGTCTCATGTACCCACGTGGCACCCACAGGTGATAATGAAGGGCAGGTCCAGTCAGGGTTCTGAATTTACATACCAGGCTTAGAGCTTAGGATAGAGGACAGGGCTATGAAGATGATACCTTTAGGATCCAACCTCACTCAGCATGCTCAGGAGGCAAAGCTGGGTCAGGGATGATTGATTGGCTTGACTCTACCTTGCAGCTGGTGGTCCAGGTACTTCAGACATGTCCCCAGGTCCCACCATGGCCACCTGTCTAGGCCCCACAGTTCATGGGCTTGTTCAAAGACAAACTGAGTAAGATGTGTGCAAGACTTTGAAGGAGCCCAGCAGCGAAACTTTACAGCTTTAATTCACAGATAAATAAAGCA
Source organism: Homo sapiens (assembly GCF_000001405.40). Classification (NCBI taxonomy): domain Eukaryota; kingdom Metazoa; phylum Chordata; class Mammalia; order Primates; family Hominidae; genus Homo; species Homo sapiens. The sequence continues at coordinate 102,240,760 of NC_000009.12, read as the reverse complement.
AGTATCAAAAATAGTACAGGAACAACAGTTTTATGACCTTAAAACATCTATCAAAAGCAGCCTAAACTTGTATAATGAGTAAGTCCAGGCAAAATGCTTGAATTATACTTAATACTGACAATTTTGAGGACATTCTAATTTTATTTTGCCAACAATTTTAAAGTAGTTTTATTTACCAAACATCACCAAAGTCATTTGAGCTTAAAGGCATTTGAGTTAGTTTCTATTTTCCTGGTGAAATATTTAAGTGTTTACATTTTCTTTAAGCCAAGTAGAGTTCTTTCATATATTTCAATAGTGAAATATCACATACACAAATCACATATAAATACATAGACATGCAGGTACAAAGAAGCAGATCATATAGCCTTACAAGATTTTTCATTCGCCAGCTTTCATGTAGCTTTTTTTCCTCCTTGTAGACTATACAGCTCTAAATGATTATTAGCAAGGTAACTCAATCTGTATTTCCAAAAACATGATTTCTTAGGTGAAATTTTACATTTCAAAGGCACAGACCTTAGATCCAAACACATTATTTGCTGAGACAATCAAGGACAAGGTCCAATCAAGACTAGATTGCCAGGAAAACTATCTTAAACAAAGTTAAGGTCTTTTATGTAAACATGAAAACAATAGTTTCTAGTGCTTTAGGTGCAGGGAGGGAGATGTCCTTGCAAATGGAGATTATTTTTATAGATGAAAATGTTTGTTTCTTACCAAGACTTTCCAAACAGCCAGCTAAATTCCAGAAAGTACTGGAGACCAATTTAGTTAGATAGCTCGTCTTTTAAACTTGGCTTATTTCTTGATTATATTACAGATTTCAGGGTGCAGCCCTTTAATAGGGTGGAGAAAGCATTTTTTTATGTCTGGACTTTGCATGGATAGCTCTGCAAAAGAAGTAAGCCTATTTTAGCTGCAGGCCTATATATGTGTGTGTGTATGTATACATGTATATATGTATTTATATATGCACATATACATACGTATGTATACATGTGTATACATGTATACATATATACGTGTATATACACATATACATGTTATACGCATATGTATATATACACATACATATACACGTATACATGTATATATACATGTATACGTGTATATGTATGTGTATATATGTATACCCATATATACCCATATATACACGTATATGTGTATATGTATTTATATATGTATATATTATGTATATGTAAATACATATATACATGTATATCCATATACATGTATATATGTATATATACACACACATAGGCCCACAGCTAAAATAGGCTGCATATATACGTATATACATATATATGTATATATATAAATATACATATACACACATATATTTTTGAGATGGAGTCTCACTCTGCTGCCTAGGCTGGAGTGCAGTGTCACAGTCTCAACTCACTGTAACCTCCACCTTCTGGGTTCAAGCAATTCTCCTGCCTCCCGAGTAGCTGGGACTACAGGCGCCCACCACCATACCTGGCTAATTTTTGTATTTTTAGTAGAAATGTGGTTTCACCATGTTGGCCAGGCTGGCCGCGAACTCCTGACCTCATGATCCGCCTGCCTCAGCCTCCCAAAGTGCTGGGATTACAGGCGTGAGCCATCGTGCCCAGCCCTATATTTTATAAATACTTTATGTAGCTTTTTTAAAAACACCAAAAGTATCTTTTCAAGTGAATTATCTTAACCAACGTCATGACAAACTAAAGGTCATGACAAAACTAAGATGAACTAGGCATCTCCACAGATTTATAAAGTAGTCCTTGCAATATCTAGAACCACCCAAAGGGAGTTCAAAGAGAGAAAAGTCTTAGTAGTTTCAAATGGGATATAACTGACATCTGTCCAGCCATGTTGTTTAGGGCCCAGCTGCTTCTCACAGAGCACCTATACTTAAAGACCCAAAAGCCCCACATGCACCTCAGATGGAAAAGACTGGAAGTCAAAAGTTTCCATTGGAAAGGGATAGGATCAATAACAAAAGGGTATGCCAAAAGGTCAAGAGTCATACAAACAATTTTAAAAAAATGGGTTTGGTTCCTTGATCAGAAATCAAACCTGTGCCACAGCCAGGAAAGCACAGAATTTTAGCCTATAGACTGTAGGATGGATTGCTATTTTGTCAATCTTTCAGGGCACTCAAGGCAGACAATTTGAGATTTATTTTAATTGCAAGTTGAACCAGCTGCCTCTTCATGGAAGGTGAAGGGTATAATTTTCTAGGTTTAGAATAAATTTTTACAGATGATGTTTCCTGAAGAGGGCTGGAAGGCGCAATCCCAAAATCCCCTGAAAAAAAAAAAAACAAGTACTCCCAGGAATAGACTCATATTATGAAGGCAGTCCCTTTGAGTGCAACTGAAGAGCAAGTGTCCTCACAAAACTGAAGTGTGAGCACACCCTACATAGCATGAGTGTAGCCCAGAGTGTGAGTGTACCCAACAAAGTGTGGGTATACTCCATCAGTGGGTAATCTGTGGAACTGGGTGGGAAGAATCACTGAAATAATAAAGTGCCAAAAACCTCATCCTAAGAACAAAAGAAAGATATTGGGTCCAAGGGGCCTTACCTCATTTCTCCCTGGTGCAGCCAGGAAGATAAGTGAGCTCAAGGGGTTCTTGCAGGTGCAAATGCATTGGTCCAGATAGTGTTGGGAAAAAGCAAGGGTGCCACTTCAAATCCCATCCTCGTCATCAAGAAATGTTAAGAAAAGACCATAAGCTCTGTGGAGGAAAAAAGTAGAGCTTTATTTTCTATAAAAACTAACCTGAAGATTGGGAAGAAACAGTCTTCAGTACAAGTGAAATTGTATTCACCAAAGAACAAAGGAAAGGTCTGGCTTAAATAAGGAAAGTTCTTGCCTTCATTCTCAATTAGGTGCATCCATGCAAATGAAGAAGTTAAACTTGTTCTGCTCTAATTTCTCTAAATAGGCTCTGCTAACCTGGTTTCTAAGCCCCAAACCATAAGTCACTGTAAGATGTTTCTGTCAAAGGTCCTGTGTGTGGGAGTGAGGGGAGGAGGTGTTTCTGGCTGTAGTTTATCTTGCCACAGACAAGAGGCAGTGGTTTGGCCTGACTGTGGAAAGGGAGGTCCTGTTACACTTTTACACCTTTCTGAGAACAGAGTACATGAGAAGTCCCTCACCTCGCTGTGGCTGCCTACTTTTGTTTTAACTTTCAGCACCTCAGTTAGCCATAGGTCGTCCATTTTGTCTTTTGGCTGAGGACGTACGTAATCATGGAAGAATTTTAAAGTGTGTCATATTATCTTAACATTAGGTATAAAACCAATTTGATAATAAATTTTGTTTTTTAGGTCACTTCTGTTTTCTGCCATGATGGGGTAACACTGACCCTTCCCAAGTAAACTACTAAAAGCAAACTAAACAAAATATGTGAAGCAATAATTTGCACATATTGGACAGGAGGAAATGCAGAAGTGTAACTTGTATGAGAAGAAAACAAATGTGGTAATACCCATCGTGGTTTCAGCTCACTTCCTGGAGCATTTCCAGGATGCAGTGCAGGCAAAGGAAACCCAAACAGAGCCTAAGAAAAAAAGTGTTAAGAATTTGGGGTGGCCAAAATGGTCTCAGTTTGCTGAGCAGAGTACCAGAAATGACAAATCTATAGATCTAGCTGGAATAAAGAAAGAGAGAGAGAGAGCACCCAGGATAGTTCCCCCATTAGTCTCAAGCTAAGTACTGAGCTTAAGTATTTAAGGAAACTTGCCAAAATCCAGGAGAAAATAAACCCTAAAAGGCTGTTTTAATGGGTAAAGATAATCATTTTAACAACTATATGTAAAAAATATGTAAAAAATAAAATAAATAGGCTGGGCACAGTGGCTCATGCCTGTAATCCTAGCATTTTGGGAGGCCAAGGAATTCAGATTGCCTGAGCTCAGGAGTTTGAGACCAGCCTGGGCAACATGGTGAAACCCTGTCTTTACTAAAATACAAAAAATTGGCTGAGCATGGTGGTGTGCACCTGTAGTCTCAGCTACTCTAGAGGCTGAGGCAGGAGAATCGTTTGAGCCCAGGAGGCAGCTATAAAAAACTATAAAAAAAAACTCACACCTGTAATCCTAGTTAGGAGGCCAAGGTGGGAGGACACTTGAGATCGGGAGTTCGAGACCAGCCTGACCAACATGGAGAAACCTCATTTCTACTAAAAAATACAAAATTACCCGGGTATAGTGGCACGTTTGTAATCACAGCTACTCCGGATGCTGAAGCAGGAGAATCGCTTGAACTTGGGAGGCAGAGGTTGCAGTGAGCCAAGATTGTACCATTGTACTCCAGCCTGGGCAAGAAGAGTGAAACTCCGTCTAAAAAAAAAAAAAAAAAAAAAAAAAAAACTAAAACAAACTATAAAAAAAATCAACACATTAAACTTAATCAAAATTTTTAAGAACAATTTTCAAAGATACTATTACAGAAATGATAAAACAAGTCACAGACTGAGAAACAATATTTGCTAAACATATATCCAACAAAGGACTTTCATTTAAAAAATATAAAAAAAACCTCTTCAACTCAATTATTAGTAAAAATAAAATAAAATTTTTCAAAAAATCTAACAAATGCTTCAACAAAAGAGGAATAGGAGTGGCCAACAAGCCTATAAAAAATGCACAACTTTGTCAGTATGCAGTAAATGCAAATCAAAACCACAATCAGATACTACTATAAACATCCTACACACACCTTGCAAGTGTTAGCAAGGACCTGGAACAACTGGAATTCTTATACACTGCTGATGGGAATCTAAATCAATACAACCACTTTGTAAAAACAGGTTAGAAGTTTATATAAAAGTTAAACATACACATATGCTATGACCCAGCATTCTACTCTTAAGTAAGTATTCACCTGAGAGAAATGACAGTATATGTCCACACACCAACTTGCATACATATATTCATAGAAGCTTTATTTATAATAGCCAAAAACTAAACAAAACAAAATTCTATCAGTAGTACAAATTGTAATATATCTATGGAATGAAATACTAGTAATCAGCAATGAAAACAATAAAATGTGGACAACATGGATAAATCTCAAAATAACTGTTGTGTTAAAAAAGTAATTTAAAATGCATGATACTATTTCTGTAAAACTTTAGTAAGTACAAGCTAATCTATAGTGACAGAAAGGAGACCAATGGTTGTCTGCAGAGGAGAAGGAGAGTAAGGGATTGCAAATGAACAAGATGATGTGTGGATGCTATCTTAATTGTGGTGATGGTTTCACAAGTGTATATGTATGTCAAAATGCATTTTGTTTTTGAGACAGGTCTTGTTCTGTCAGTCACCCAGGATGGAATGCAGTGGCACAATCTCAGCTCACTGCAACCTCAACCTCAGCCTTCCTAGCTCAAGCGATACCCCTACCTCATCCTGCCAAGTAGTTGGAACTACAGTCATACTCCACTGTGCCAGTATAATTTTTGTAGTTTCTGTAGAGATGGGGTTTTGCTATGTTTCCCAGGTTCCTTTCAAACTCCTGGGCTCAAGCAATCCGCCTTCCTCGGCCTCGGGATTACAAGCATGAGTTACCGCACCCAGCCAAAACTCTTAAATTGTGCACTCTATGTATGTAGAGCTTATTGTATGTCAATTATACCTCATTGAAACAATAAAAAGAATTTGCTCTTTAAAATTATTCTATTATTTCCATATAAATTTTGTAAAAGTAAAGGATAGACAAATGGTCAATTCCACTACTCATTTAGCAAAACAATGTAACTCTATTCCACAACCATGTATCATTATAAAAATATGAGCTCATTTCAGTTGCGAATATAATTGCAAATATTCCAAAACAAAATACTAGCATTTAGTTATTAAAAAATAATAAATGCCTTTTTATCAAGTAGAATTTATTTCAGGAATACCAGAATGGTTTAGTAAAGCAATAGTGTAATAGAAGACATTAGAAAAAATGAAATTTCTCTTAATATTCTTAAAATATTTTGTTAAAGAAAATAAATTCCAATCATAAACTAACATTCATTAAAACCATTCACTTTTAAGTCCAGAACAAGATAAAAATACATTGTTAGTTCACATGATTGATTCTGTAATTTATTAGCACTACAATATTTAAGGAAAAAAGTAACACTCTTTATGGTGAATTATTTACTTAAAAGGAAATTAATCCAATTAAAAATCATTTGGATTTTTTTGAAGTAATAAAACAGTTGTTTTATAATATAGTTTTATACAAATTAAATGTGCCAATATTAATATTCATGGTCTTTTACATCTTGTCATGAGAAAAACTAATATCAGACTAGCCCTCCCACCATTGTCATGAGAAAAACTAATATCAGACTAGCCCTCCCACCATAAACAAACAACTAGAAAACTGAATAAAATATAGGAAACATTTATTTTCAGATACTGGATAGCAGTATAACTGTGGTTCCTAAGAAAGAAAACAAACAAAACAAAATTAGCCTTTATGATATTGGAGGCTTTGTATCTGGAAGCCCTTTTTTGGTTTATTGAGGTCTTTGTTTTGTTTGTTTCATTGAAACTGAGTCTCACTTTGTCGCCCAGGCTGGAGAGCAGTGGCATGATCTCTGCTCACTGTAACCTCCGCCTCCCAGGTTTAAGCGTTTCTCTCGTACCTCAGCCACCCCAGTGGTGTACCACTGCTCTCAGCTAATTTTTGTATTTTTAGTAGAGACTGAGTTTCGACCTGTTGGCCAGGCTGGTCTCAAACTCCTGACCTCCAGCGATCCACCTGCCTAGGCCTCCCAAAGTGCTGGAATTACAGGCGTGAGCCAGCCACCACGCCCTGCTGGAAGCCCTTTTCAGATACCGATACATTGAAGACAGAGAAAGCGACAGACAGTTGAGTTTGTGGGGAGTTGCTGAGGATTCAGAGAGGGGAAAACTGAAGAGAGGAGGTTCAGAGATCTGCAAGTGGTCCCTTTGTTGATAAACAGGGATTTCACTCACAAAAGGCACATTTTATTCAAGGTAAATTGTAACACAAATTTAAAACAACTTTCTTATATACCAATGAAAATCTGTTAGGATATTTAATAGACAATCAATCATAACAGAAAAAAAATCAAAATTCTAGGAGTCAATTGTACCTGAGTAACATAGAATCTTTTTGAAGAAATATACTGTATGTTTTTGTGGAATATGAAAGATGATGTGAATAAATGAAGTAAATGGAAACACATGCCATGTTTGGTTTTTTTATCCCAATGTGTGAGGTCAATAGAAGTGATGTTAAAATACAATATTTTGTTTCATTTTAATAAAAACTGATTTCTAAAGTGAAAGATGTCTTTTTTTCTTTCCAGGTTGTTTTTCATATTTAACCAATGCCTTCCAAAGACATAATAGTTTTCGTCAATATACCTAACAGTTGTTCTTTGTAGAGTATCTGTTTTTTTTTAACAAGATAGATACAAATATATTAACCAACAATTATCCTAGAATTTAAAATACAAACTGAAAAGGCTAAGGCTTAGAAATCACAAAAATTTTGACAACTCATGGAAATTATGAGTGTATATTTCAGTAATTCTGGAGCTAATATATGATTTTATACATGAGTTTAAAAGATGATAAAGGATCTTGAAACACAAAATGAGAGACATAGAAAATTCCTCATAATATACAATTACTACTACTCCTACCTCCTTTCCTTATTTGACATCAATTTCTTACCTAGAAACCAGTGAAGTCTGTTGGGTGAGCCTCTCACATATGTCCACATCTTAAAATTCATCAATCCAATAATAGCAGTCAACCTTGTAAAATAGCTCTAGCTTCATCACTCAAATGTGTTTCTAATTTGAAACTTCAAGCAGAGAAGAGAAATAATTTATTGATCTCTGGTCACATAAGGCACTTAGTAGCTAATAATAAGATAGCATTACAAAAAATAAACTAATAGTTTATTATTTAAATAATTATATGTTATAGTTACCATATATTTAGACTGTGTCTATAACAAGATATTAGCACTGAAATGAGTCAGTTAAATTACTTTTAAAGAGTATTAGCAAAGTGGTAAGATCTAGCAAATGAGGTAAAAATGAGGTCAGTGGTGAGATATCAAAAGACATCAACTCCTATCGAGGAGAAATAAAAACACATGTAATTTCAAGATCAAAAAGGGGGAAAACACGAAACCTTAGTGGGCACACACACAAGCAGCTGAACATCAAGAGCAGCACAGAGTGGCGGGGTGTCGTGGCAGAGTAGGGAAGAGGCACCTGAACATAGGCTGAGAACAGTCAGAATCCAGGGGAAGATCACCTTCCCACTCCATTCCCACCTTCCGGCTCCCCATCCATTTCACTGAGAGCCACCTCCACCACTCAATAAAACCTTGCACTCCTCCTTGGAGCCCATGTGTGATCTGATTCTTTCAGTATGCTGGGCAAGAGCTCAGGATACAGGAAGCAGTCACACTGTCCCTCTGCCCTTGCCAGAAGGAAGAGGGTCCATTGAGCTGATTAACACTCATCCCATCTGCAGATGGCAGAGCTGAAAGAGCTTTGTAACACTGGGATTGCAGGTGCCCTTCCCTAGACATTACCAAAAGGCTGGAGCCCAGAAGCATTGGCCGGCCTCTGCACCTGCCCACCTGCATGTTCCCCCCATGGGTTTGAGCTGTCCGGTGATGGAGCAGGCAAGCCACACCCCTGTCGCACACCTGTGAGGGGAATCAGGGAACTCTCCCGTTTCAGTATGGACTGAGTTTGAGCCTTCCTAGTTGAGGGACAAAAATTATTAAAACTACTTAAAAGTTCCACCTTTTGAGACTTTGGGCACAAATCTCTACCATACCTAAGTGCTCAGGATTCAAAGTGTGACAAAGATGTTAAATAAACATTTCTGTGTTTATCTCCATGGAATCCAATTAAGTATCAGGGGGAAATTAACTAGTGAAAGCAAGAATCATTGATGATAAAGGAGGGTGATGAGGCTTACCTAAATGGCCTTCCAGGTGTAAGATTTAGAAAAGTAGAGTCTAGAACATGAGAGAAATAATCAGTTCTGAGGCATAAAGTAGCTTGGTGCACCAAGGAACTGAAAGAACCTCCCTCTGCTGGAGCATAGAAAGGACATGAATTCCATGTAATCAAACATAAAAGATAATTTATGTAATGAGTCAGATTACACAGGACCTCGTGGACTGTGTTAAGGGTAAGTGCATTGGGATGATCAGTGGTGAAGGTCTTTGAGCAAAGGAACTGATTTGATCCAAGTTACTTTTTACCACTATAAAACTTAAATTCAAAGTTCACCATTTTTAAAAATAAGAAAGCAAACAGGAGGGAGGGAGGGAGGACCAGTCTATTGATTAAGTCTATATCACAATACAATACAGTCAAATTTCTCTTCTTTTTTTTCTCTCTATATAGATATTTTAAAAACCAAAATTTATGTATGCATGTATATCATTACATGTAACATTTTATATACACACATATTTCCTATAAACATATAAAACATTTCAAACACACACAAATATGTTCGGGTTTTTTTGTTGTTGTTCTTAGAAGGAAACAAATCAACAACTATAATTTATATACTGATGGTGTATGAAAGGTGCCAATACAGCTGGAGGAGAGGAGAAAGTTATATACAAGGAGAATTGTGGGTTAGTGATATATGTTGTTACAGAATTCATCAGGTTCAGAGAGTTGTAAGTAATGGTCTAGTACCTTGAAGTATAGATTGTAGATTGTAGAAAATGTGATCACACTTTGTCAAATTTTTTTGATACTGAAAGGAAGCATTACTAATAATTACACTGGGAAAAAGAAGAGTAAATAGATTTAAACTAGAATGAAATACCCTAGCTATATTAGAATGTCTCTTACTGCTTTTAGTAAGTGTGGTGGGGATAATTTCTTTAATAATTTACAGGAGATAAGGGAGCTAAGCCTATTGCCTATAACATCATAGTACACCCTTCTGAAGGGTAACAAAGGTTTAGCACCTCCCCAAATTCCATCCCTGAGTGAAGATTAGAAGACTTAATTTGGAGTACAGGACAGAAACTGGAAGGAAGGTGGAAAGTTTGAACATGATGAAGGGTAATGGGAAAACTTTAAGTTTAGAAAAACTTGACAGGTAGCCTCAGAATCCAAACATTCCTTCTGGGAGAATGTGATTTGGCAGAGCTGAATGGTAACACCCATGGGATGGTTCCTCAGAAGCTATTTCATGCTCGAGACATGAACTGTGGAGTCCATTACCATCATAGGTTTTGTAGAAGTTATGCCCCAGACTTTAGAATCTTATTTAAACTAAGATTCCTTTGGAAAAACAGAGTTGCCACTATACACTTAGGCCTTTGTGCCTTTCTAGAGCTTTTACTATCATGTGTCCTATCAGCAAATTTTCCCTCAATTCATTCCACAGGGTAAACTAGGTGATCTTTGGTCTATGATATGACTGGCTGTAGCATACACAAAAGCCCCAGAAGTTGGACCTGGAAAACAAACTGGGAAAGACACAGTGTGTAGAGTGACCATGTTCCTATCCACAGTATGGGCAAGACTACAGAAGATAGTGTGATCCAGCACTTACTGGCCATAGAGGCCACAAAGAGATAGACTTGGGACACAAGCCAAGTAACAAACTACAAATATCTCATGTTCTTGATAATCTCAAAGTCGTAGCTATTTGAGAGCAGATTCAGTCTTGCTTTTTATACACTATTCTTGCCAGATACATGGGAGAGGCTGGGTATATTTTGGCTATCTTCCCCTCAATAGTCATAACTGTCCAAGAACGACATTACTAATATAATATCCTTACAGCCTTTGTAGCTTAAAAACTTAGTGAGGAGAGAGGATTTTTATTAAGCCAACTATTATTTTCAAGACAATGTAGTTATTGGAAACTTGATATGAGCTTGCAAGATTCTGCAGCGGGGCAGAAGTATTAAAAGTGCACAAGTCCAACTCTCTTCCAGTCAAATCTGAGACAATGACATATGGCACCAAATGACAAAGAGAAATGGATGTTCATTCCTTTGAGCAAAACCTGGCAGCAATATAGTGATTTAATGGCATGAGAAACTTGGAGGCTTATCACGCAATAACCAGTCATCACAGGATAGTAATCAGGGGTGAAAAGAGAAGAGAAAGATCCATTTGACTGCTTTTTTGGGCTGGCACTTCACTTGTGATTTTCTACCTACTATCGAGCATAACATTCTCAGACAAGCTGATATGAGTAAATATTGGATCAGTGTTAATGGTTGGGGAAGGAGAAACATAAATTAAAAGGGAGACTCACCTGATTTACTGGGATCCTTATGTTTCTAATGATACAATAGAAAGTTCATGGGTTTTGGGTCACAACTCTCTGTACCTGGATTCCAGCTTTTGTCACTGCTTAGATGAGACATGTCATGTGACTTACAAACCTCAATTTCCTCATATACACAGTGGATCTAATAACATCTACCTCACAGGGTTTCTGTGCAAATTAAATAAGGAAGAACAATTAAAGAATTGTTATTCTGCATGGTGCTTAGAAGTCATTTACTATGGAGCTAGAGGAGTACTGCAAATGCGGTATAAGTTGCTCACAAGAGTGCAATAATGTGATCTGAACTTAAGTCCCACACAAGAACAGCTAGAAAGAGCCATTTCCAAGTTACATTTTAAGATCACTCTGACAGCTGATTAAATAACAGAATGAAGAAGTGGAGATATAAAACCTTTGAGACCAGTGAGCAGGTTACAATAATCTGAGTATGAGATGCTTATGACTTGGAATAGGGAGGTCGCGGTGCAGTTAAAAAAAATGTGGACAGATCAGTTGCCTCTTGTGAAACATGGCATCAATCTGATCTGGTCATAAATCAGAATTGGGAGGTGAGTAAAACAGTCAAAGAATAGAAATTTTGGCAGGGAGAAGATCATTTTCAGAAATTTAAGATTTACAAATAGAAGCAAAAAAGCATATTTTTAAATCTCTTGCACTTTATATGGAAATGGAAATGCTCATTCAACTTGGTCAGTCACATACTTTGCTACTCTAAAAGGTATTGCAATAGTTTAGAACTTCTTAGTTAATTAAACTTTTATTTGCCTTATTTTAGATAGCACCTGATACATACATAAAGCATTCAGAATTCTCAATTCAGGTGTAATTTTACCAAACTTGAAATATCAAACAAAATGCTATCTGTCATTGTAACCTCTATCAAATCTTATTACTCCTTACAATCATTCAAATTCCAATGGCTTTTTTGTGTTTTGTGATTTAATAAGCCACACTAAAATGTATATCTTAATTATACACTTCAGCTAACTCATGAGTGCATATACTACAAGTGTTCATTTCACAGTCAGACAATTATTTACTACAGTCTTGAATTTATATCCAAAAATCTACAATTTAAGGAAAGCGGTTCTTTGCAATGTATAATATTAATGATGCATGAGAATGTTTACAGACGGCTGAACTAATAAAATCAATTTCAAATCAGTCTGTTAAGTGTGTTTCCTTGGTTGGAATTGGCAAACCAACCAGTAGAAGACAACGAAACAGAACAAGGAAGGAAAACATCTTGAAACAACTGTTATTCTTTTGAAATATCAACCTTTGTAGCATTAACTTGTGTGCTTTACCACGTGACTTTTATTAACACATTTTTTCTAGTGTATCACCATCTATTTTAATGTTACGTATTTATTGCAATTTTATAGCACCACTCCAAGCTTATAGAATACTTGCAGAATATGTACTTCTTAAGTATATTTTTCTTAAACATATGTTTTTACATACATATGTAATTATATATTAGATATATAAGTATATATTTTATAACAGAAATTATAAGATGCATTATAGATATAAATCATATTACTTTCAAACATACACCTATATCTATAATTCAAAATGAATATTTTTTGCTTAGTTTTTATCTCCCTCCCAGCTGGGTGTGGTGGCTCACGCCTATAATCCCAGCTCTTTGGGAGGCTGAGGCTGGTGGATCACCTGAGGTCAGGAGTTCAAGATCAGCCTGGCCAATATGGGGAAACCATCTCTACTAAAAATACAAAAATCAGCCAGGTGTTGTGGCGGGTGCCTGTAATCCCAGCTACTTGGCAGGCTGAGGCAGGAGAACAGCTTGAACCTGGGAGGCAAAGGTTGCAGTGAACCGAGATCGTACTATTGCACTCCAGCCTGGGTGACAAAAGTGAAACTTTGTCTCAAAAAAAAAAATAAAAATAAAACACTCCCCTAGGATAGCTTTGATATGAAGAAAGTTAAAATTATCTATTCCAACAATTATATTTTATAATTGAATAAACCATAATTCAAAAGTTAAATGATTTATCCAATATTACATACTGACCAATTCCATCTTACAATACCTAGTGATCTTTCAGTCTTTCTTTTTCTGCACATGCTCCATTCTTTCCAGCCTCCTTTATTTCCTCTTTACTGTTTACACAGTGAAATGTGTAGCAAAAATAGGTATCTTAAGAGACAAATGGGATACAGCATACAAGGATTTCTTCCCATAGTCAATGTATTTAAGAGTGTTGATTTTAGAAAGAAACATGGAGGTAGTTTATATCATCCAAATTTATAGGTAAATTGAAATCATAAAAATTTACCCAGAAACCACATTATTCACTTATTTAACCGCACTTACTATGTGACAGGCACTATGAATTTTTCTGGATATTTAAGACCAACAAAACAGGCTAACTATAAAGCTTACAGTGGACTGAGGGAGACTCAAGCTAAACGTCTCTTAAAATTTCTGTATTTATAATCAATATCGGTAAGTGAAGAAAAATCAGTTAATGGATATTGACATTGAAAATTAGGAGCAACTGGGAAGGAAGGCTTGCTTTCTACAGATTGGTCAGAGAGGACTTCTCCCTGACAAGATGCTTTTATGTGAGGCTAAGAACAATTGAGCCCTGTGAAGAACTGGGTGAAGGGTGACATGAGCAGTGGGAAAGGCTTGAGTTACAGGCTTGAGGAGGGAAAGTCGCGGGCATATTTGACGACCTACTGATGTCCAGTGCATTTGAAGAGTAGTAAGCAGGGGAGAGATAATCACCCAAAGAGGTAGAGAACTCACATGGGCATGAGTAGTTTCTTCCTCTTAGGCTTAGATGAAGCTATCATTACATCCATAATTTCTCCACCTATTGTTTATGATTAACCACACCATGGGCAAGTCGTATTTGTACAGTCATTTGCATTTCAAAATCACGTTCGCACATTTGTCATTTTATTTAGTCCTCATGGGAAACTTCTAAGGCAGCCAGATCAGGCTTTAAAAGCAGCATTTACACAGGAGTTAACTGAAGTCTAGGGTATAATGTTGTATTATTGTGTTGTGTTATGTATTTTATAACATAGGTCTTGTCAACACTTTCTATTTTTTGTGTTTTGTTTTCATTTTCAAATCTAACTACCTTATGTTCTAGTGTGCAGAGTTTTCTACCTTGTGGAGAATGCTTAGTGTTATCAAATATCTTTTGCGTGCAGTTTGCAACTGCCACATTTGCTTGTGTCAGCTATTTTTGTGACTCTTTCTGACTCACAGGAAAAGCCATTTTTATCTCTAGTAACCCCTTTAGATTCCATAAAATTCCCATAGTTTTGTTTTGGAAAGAAAAACTGTGAAATATTCAGTCATATTTTTAGCTATTTTCTTAGAGTCTTCAGGGTGTATGTCCAGAGGGACCTCCCAGCATAGGGGAATTGCTCACATGGGGACATTGAAAGATAAAACCCATGGTTCCCAGCCTAGCACTGTGGGGGAACTTTGTGCTAACACTGCATTCTTTTCATAATAAGCTCTGCAAGAAGATACAAAGTAGCAAAGTCCAGAAATTGCTCTGATATATCATAGGGCCTGATATTAACTTGAAAAGTAAACTCTATAATAGTAGAGTAACATAGAACAGAAGAACTTTCTGACCTTCCCTGTGGTGTTACAATATACTTGGATTTGCTAAGAAAGAGGAGGTTATTTTCCTTTATATTTTTATTCTTTGAATTCTAATAGTTTCCATCACATGGAAGTGGAACTCTGAAATGTGTAAATGTACTTTTTAAATGGGACTAGTTCATACACAATTGTTCATTTATTAATTAAAGTTATTTTGAGCACCTTCTCTTGCAAATACTATTCTAGGTGCTAAGATTACAAATAAAGATTAATGAAGAAGAAAAATAAGCAGACATTGTCCTCATGGTGCTAGAAGAAGGGACAGATAATTAAAACATGCAAGTCATACAGCCTAATAAGCAACACAAATTAGAATATGATAAATGCTACAATAGTGGTACACACATGATAATTGTTACCAAATAAGAATTGTCCTTGACACAGACTAAAGGAATAAAGTAGATGTCTTAAAGGAGATGATGGCTGAACTGAAACTAGAAAGACAAGTAATAGGTTAAAATTAAGTTTCAGAAATTAAAGTACTTGATAGATTTCATATTAGGACATCTTATTATGAATAAGCAAGAGACATTATATAAGGAGTAAAATTTCAGGAATTAGATTACCCAAGGACAATTTAATGACATACTGCTATTATATCAGCATCAATTACTGTCTAAAATAATACTCTGTTGTATCTTTTGCACTTTTTGCAGACTTTCAGGTACAAAAACATCCTCGCCTACATTTGTATTCCACCATCTCTATCAAACTTTAGAGTAACTAACTTTATAGTAAACAGCTTCTAGGTTTATTTTACCCTATCAAAGCTTCAAAAAAAAGAGGTCTCTTTGTAGTTTTTTAAAAAAATATGTATTTTAGTCTAAACTTGCTGTTGTATAAATTTTCTAAATTTGCTTTTGAAGGCAAAACCCAGATAGTGGCTTATTGGCTCCAAAGAGCTCAGAACCTAATTACCCCTTCTTCTCTACAAAACCCATAAAACTTTTACTGTACTATAACTGTTATTCTTTCTGTTATTTTTGTTAATAAAGACAAAACAAAACAAAATAGCCCTCCTGGAACTGGTTACACATCAGGGTCTCATCAAGTTCCACAACAGTGAACCTCAATTTTGTTACTACTAAATATTTATTTTCTTTCGATATAATTGCCCCATGTTTTTGCATATCTTCCAATAATGTCCTAAATTATGCTTAAAATATCATACTAACTAGACTGGTAAAACGGTAAGCTACTGGAGGCTTTGGATTTTTTTAAATCATCTTTTTAAACTTTTAGAAAAATAAATTGAACTTGAACAAAGTAAAAATTATGTGGTTAGCACAATATTTTAAATCAAACCCATTATTTGTAGAATTATAATAATTAACACATAAAGTAGATCTGGAAGTAATCTAATCAGCTTCACATTGCAAAAACAAAACAAAAGCAAAACAACAACAACAACAAAGAAACCTAATACGGTATCTTTGAAGAGGAACACAATAGTGACATGTTTTTATCTATTTGATGAAAAGCTAACAGAATTCATTTTGGAAAAGTGATAATGGCTTTTCAAGTGTATCTTTGGTCAAATCTTATAAGTAAACAATCTGATAACTGTTAATATACTTCCTTTTATAAATGAATAAACGACAAAAATAACTAACACTTTTTAAGCAATAATATACAACAGGCACTGTGTTGCTTTACATAAATTGTCTTTTTAGTTCTATAATAAAGGAATAAGGTAAGTTCTCAGCAATATCCCTGGAAATTCGTGGCACAGAAAATTAATTCACTTGCCTTTGGACATGAATATAACAAGTGGCAAAGTTAAGTACTCATAAATAACAGGCTATATTGCTTTCTTAATATGTTATACAGGACTGAAAATTTTCCCAAGATGGCCGAATAGGAACAGCTCTGGTCTACAGCTCCCAGCGTGAGCGACGCAGAAGACGGGTGATTTCTGCATTTCCAACTGAGGTACCGGGTTCATCTCACTAGGGAGTGCCAGACAGTGGGTGCAGGTCAGTGGGTGCGCGCACCCTGCTCGAGCCACAGCAGGGAGAGGCATTGCCTCACTTCGGAAGCGCAAGGGGTCAGGGAGTTCCCTTTCCGAGTCAAAGAAAGGGGTGACGGACGGCACCTGGAAAATCGGGTCACTCCCACCCGAATACTGAGCTTTTCCGACAGGCTTAAAAAACGGCGCACCACGAGAGTATATCCTGCACCTGGCTCCGAGGGTCCTACGCCCACGGAGTCTCGCTGATTGCTAGCACAGCAGTCTGAGATCAAACTGCAAGGCGGCAGCAAGGCTGGGGGAGGGGCACCCACCCTTGCCCAGGCTTGATTAGGTAAACAAAGCAGCCTGGAAGCTGGAACTGGGCGGAGCCCACCACAGCTCAAGGAGGCCTGCCTGCCTCTGTAGGCTCCACCTCTGAGGGTAGGGCACAGACAAACAAAAAGACAGCAGTAACCTCTGCAGACTTAAATGTCCCTGTCTGACAGCTTTGAAGAGAGCAGTGGTTCTCCCAGCACGCAGCTGGAGATCTGAGAACAGGCAGACTGCCTCCTCAAGTGGGTCCCTGACCCCTGACCCCTGAGCAGCCTAACTGGGAGGCACCCCCCAGCAGGAGCACACTGACACCTCACACAGCAGGGTATTCCAACAGACCTGCAGCTGAGGGTCCTGTCTGTTAGAAGGAAAACTAACAAACAGAAGGGACATCCACACCAAAAACCCATCTGTACATCACCATCATCAAAGACCAAAAGTAGATAAAACCACAAAGATGGGGAAAAAACAGAACAGAAAAACTGGAAACTCTAAAAAGCAGAGGGCCTCTCCTCCTCCAAAGGAACGCAGTTCCTCACCAGCAACGGAACAAAGCTATATGGAGAATGACTTTGACTAGCTGAGAGAAGAAGGCTTCAGATGATCAAATTACTCTGAGCTACGGGAGGACATTCAAACCAAAGGCAAAGAAGTTGAAAACTTTGAAAAAAATTTAGAAGAATGTATAACTAGAATAACCAATACAGAGAAGTGCTTAAAGGAGCTGATGGAGCTGAAAACCAAGGCTCCAGAACTACGTGAAGAATGCAGAAGCCTCAGGAGCCGATGTGATCAACTGGAAGAAAGGGTATCAGCAATGGAAGATGAAATGAATGAAATGAAGCAAGAAGGGAAGTTTAGAGAAAAAAGAATAAAAAGAAATGAGCAAAGCCTCCAAGAAATATGGGACTATGTGAAAAGACCAAATCTACGTCTGATTGGTGTACCTGGAAGTGATGGGGAGAATGGAACCAAGTTGGAAAACACTCTGCAGGATATTATCCAGGAGAAGTTCCCCAATCTAGCAAGGCAGGCCAAGGTTCAGATTCAGGAAATACAGACAATGCCACAAAGATACTCCTCAAGAAGAGCAACTCCAAGACACATAATTGTCAGATTCACCAAAGTTGAAATGAAGGAAAAAATATTAAGGGCAGCCAGAGAGAAAGGTCGGATTACCCTCAAAGGGAAGCCCATCAGACTAACAGCTGATCTCTCGGCAGAAACCCTACAAGCCAGAAGAGAGTGGGGGCCAATATTCAACATTCTTAAAGAAAAGAATTTTCAACCCAGAATTTCATATCCAGCCAAACTAAGCTTCATAAGTGAAGGAGAAATAAAATACTTTGCAGACAAGCAAATGCTGAGAGATTTTGTCACCACCAGGCCTGCCCTACAAGAGCTCCCAAAGGAAGCGCTAAACATGGAAAGGAACAACTGGTACCAGCCGCTGCAAAATCATGCCAAAATGTAAAGACCATCAAGACTAGGAAGAAACTGCATCAACTAACGAGCAAAATAACCAGCTAACATCATAATGACAGGATCAAATTCACACATAACAATATTAACTTTAAATGTCAATGGACTAAATGCTCCAATTAAAAGACACAGACTGGCAAATTGGATAAAGAGTCAAGACCCATCAGTGTGCTGTATTCAGGAAACCCATCTCACGTGCAGAGACACACATAGGCTCAAAATAAAAGGATGGAGGAAGATCTACCAAGCAAATGGAAAACAAAAAAAGGCAGGGGTTGCAATCCTAGTCTCTGATAAAACAGACTTTAAACCAACAAAGATCAAAAGAGACAAAGAAGGCCATTACATAATGGTAAAGGGATCAATTCAACAAGAAGAGCTAACTATGCTAAATATATATGCACCCAATACAGGAGCACTGAGATTCATAAAGCAAGTCCTTAGAGACCTAGAAAGAGACTTAGACTCGCACACAATAATGGGAGACTTTAACACCCCACTGTCAACATTAGACAGATCAACGAGACAGAAAGTCAACAAGGATACCCAGGAATTGAACTCAGCTCTGCACCAAGCGGACCTAATAGACATCTACAGAACTCTCCACCCCAAATCAACAGAATATACATTTTTTTCAGCACCACACCACACCTATTCCAAAATTGACCACATACTTGCAAGTAAAGCTCTCCTCAGCAAATGTAAAAGAACAGAAATTATAACAAACTATCTCTCAGACCACAGTGCAATCAGACTAGAACTCAGGATTAAGAATTTCACTCAAAACCGCTCAACTACATGGAAACTGAACAACCTGCTCCTGAATGACTACTGGGTACATAACGAAATGAAGGCAGAAATAAAGATGTTCTTTGAAACCAATGAGAACAGAGACACAACATACCAGAATCTCTGGGACACATTCAAAGCAGTGTGTAGAGGGAAATTTATAGCACTAAATGCCCACAAGAGAAAGCAGGAAAGATCCAAAATTGACACCCTAACATCACAATTAAAAGAACTAGAGAAGCAAGAGCAAACACATTCAAAAGCTAGCAGAAGGCAAGAAATAACTAAAATCAGAGCAGAACTGAAGGAAATAGAGACACAAAAAACCCTTCAAAAAAGTAATGAGTCCAGGAGCTGGTTTTTTGAAAGGATCAACAAAATTGATAGACCGCTAGCAAGACTAATAAAGAAAAAAAGAGAGAAGAATCAAATAGATACAATAAAAAATGATAAGGGGGATATCACCACCGATCCCACAGAAATACAAACTACCATCAGAGAATACTACAAACACCTCTATGCAAATAAACTAGAAAATCTAGAAGAAATGAATAAATTCCTCGACACATACACTCTCCCAAGACTAAACCAGGAAGAAATTGAATCTCTGAATAGACCAATAACAGGATCTGAAATTGTGGCAATAATCAATAGCTTACCAACCAAAAAGAGTCCAGGACCAGATGGATTCACAGCCGAATTCTACCAGAGGTACAAGCAGGAACTGGTACCATTCCTTCTGAAACTATTCCAATCAACAGAAAAAGAGGGAATCCTCCCTAAATCATTTTATGAGGCCAGCATCATTCTGATACCAAAGCCTGGTAGAGACACAACAAAAAAAGAGAATTTTAGACCAATATCCTTGATGAACATTGATGCAAAAATCCTCAATAAAATACTGGCAAAACGAATCCAGCAGCACATCAAAAAGCTTATCCACCATGATCAAGTGGGCTTCATCCCTGGGATGCAAGGCTGGCTCAATATACGCAAATCAATAAATGTAATCCATCATATAAACAGAGCCAAAGACAAAAACCACATGATTATCTCAATAGATGCAGAAAAAGACTTTGACAAAATTCAACAACCCTTCATGCTAAAAACTCTAAATAAATTAGGCATTGGTGGGACATATTTCAAAATAATAAGAGCTATCTATGACAAACCCACAGCCAATATCATACTGAATGGGCAAAAACTGGAAGCATTCCCTTTGAAAACTGGCACAAGACAGGGATGCCCTCTCACCACTCCTATTCAACATAGTGTTGGAAGTTCTGGCCAGGGCAATTAGGCAGGAGAAGGAAATAAAGGGTATTCAATTAGGAAAAGAGGAAGTCAAATTGTCCCTGTTTGCATACGACATGATTGTATATCTAGAAAACCCCATTGTCTCAGCCCAAAATCTCCTTAAGCTGATAAGCAACTTCAGCAAAGTCTCAGGATACAAAATCAATATACAAAAATCACAAGCATTCTTATACACCAACAACAGACAAACAGAGAGCCAAATCATGAGTGAACTCCCATTCACAATTGCTTCAAAGAGAATAAAATACCTAGGAATCCAACTTACAAGGGATGTGAAGGACCTCTTCAAGGAGAACTACAAACCACTGCTCAAGGAAATAAAAGAGGATACAAACAAATGGAAGAACATTCCATGCTCATGGGTAGGAAGAATCAATATCATGAAAATGGCCATACTGCCCAAGGTAGTTTATAGATTCAATGCCATCCCCATCAAGCTACCAATGCCTTTCTTCACAGAATTGGAAAAAACTACTTTAAAGTTCATATGGAACCAAAAAAGAGCCCACATTGCCAAGTCAATCCTAAGCCAAAGGACAAAGCTGGAGGCATCACACTACCTGACTTCAAACTATACTACAAGGCTACAGTAACCAAAACAGCATGGTACTGGTACCAAAACAGAGATATAGATCAATGGAACAGAACAGAGCCCTCAGAAATAATGCCACATATCTACAACCATCTTATCTTTGACAAACCTGAGAAAAACAAGCAATGGGGAAAGGATTCCCTATTTAATAAATGGTGCTGGGGAAACTGGCTAGGCATATGTAGAAAGCTGAAACTGGATCCCTTCCTTACACCTTATACAAAAATCAATTCAAGATGGATTAAAGACTTAAACGTTATACCTAAAACCATAAAAACCCTAGAAGAAAACCTAGGCATTACCATTCAGGACATAGGCATGGGCAAGGACTTCATGTCCAAAACACCAAAAGCAATGGCAACAAAAGCCAAAATTGACAAATGGGATCTAATTAAACTAAAGAGCTTCTGCACAGCAAAAGAAACTACCATCAGAGTGAACAGGCAACCTACAAAATGGGAGAAAATTTTCACAACCTACTCATCTGACAAAGGGCTAATATACAGAATCTACAATGAACTCAAACAAATTTCCAAGAAAAAAACAAACAACCCCACCAAAAAGTGGGCGAAGGACATGAACAGACACTTCTCAAAAGAAGACATTTATGCAGCCAAAAAACACATGAAAAAATGCTCATCATCACTGGCCGTCAGAGAAATGCAAATCAAAACCACAATGAGATACCATCTCACACCAGTTAGAATGGCAATCATTAAAAAGTCAGGAAACAACAGGTGCTGGAGAAGATGTGGAGAAATAGGAACACTTTTACACTGTTGCTGGGACTGTAAACTAGTTCAACCATTGTGGAAGTCAGTGTGGCGATTCCTCAGGGATCTAGAACTGGAAATACCATTTGACCCAGCCATCCCATTACTGGGTCTATACCCAAAGGACTATAAATCATGCTGCTATAAAGACACATGCACACGTATGTTTATTGCGGCATTATTCACAATAGCAAAGACTTGGAACCAACCCAAATGTCCAACAATGATAGACTGGATTAAGAAAATGTGGCACATATACACCATGGAATACTATGCAGCCATAAAAAATTATGAGTTCATGTCCTTTGTAGGGACATGGATGAAATTGGAAATCATCATTCTCAGTAAACTATCACAAGAACAAAAAACCAAACACCACATATTCTCACTCATAGGTGGGAATTGAGCAATGAGAACACATGGACACAGGAAGGGGACATCACACTCTGGGGACTGTTGTGGGTTGGGGGGAGGTGGGAGGGATGGCACTGGGAGATATACCTAATGCTAGATGATGAGTTAGTGGGTGCAGCGCACCAGCATGGCACATGTATACCTATGTAACTAACCTGCACAATGTGCACATGTACCCTAAAACTTATAGTATAATAATAAAAAAAAAGAAAAAATATATGTTATATAGGTTATGCTAACTCTTAACTTTATCCCTAAGTAAACATTTATATATTGTTATTTTTCATGTTGTATATTAAAATTTCATTTTTATGCTTTTGATAGATGTCTAGTTTGCAAGGACTTTCAATTTTTTAATTCTTCTTTTTCTTTTTCTTTTTTTTTTTGAGACGAAGTTTTGCTTGTCACCCAGGCTGGATTACAATGGCACAATCTCGGCTCACTTCAACCTCTGCCTTCCGGGTTCAAGCAATTCTCCTGCCTCAGCCTCCAGAGTACCTGGGATTACAGGCACCCACCACCACGACCAGCAAATTCAGCTAATTTTTGTATATTTAGTACAGATGAGGTTTCTTCATGTTGGCCAGGTTGGTCTCGAATTCCTGACCTCAGATGATCCACCTGCCTTGGCCTCCCAATGTACTGGGATTACAGGCATGAGCCATTGCACCTGGCCAAATTTTTTAATTTTTCTAATCTCTAGCTACTTAGTAGGTACAAGTATGAGAATATAGAAACACAATAGCATCTTTACTTAAACAGTCACTCACTGCATTAGTTTGTGAGAGCTGCTGTAACAAAATACCACAAACTGGGTAGCCTTAAAACAGCCTTTGCAAAATTATGACTGAAACAGTGAAAGAGATCTAATCTAACCAACTCCATCTTGCTTCTAACCTCTAAGCTGTCCTTGTTCATTCCTGGGCATAGGCTGAACTAACTTTGGGAGGAACTTAGTTTATAGTTTAAAACAAAGACGATAACAACCCTTTCCCAAAACAACCCTCCTTCTTGCCCAGAGACTAGACTGCCTTTGTAGGACTAATATCAGCCACAAGATTAGAAATTAAGATTTAGGAGTCATGCAGCTGGAGGCTACAAGATTCTCACCCTCCCTAAACTGCTTCTAAAATCAGTACCTGAGATATTTTGCAGACCCTGCACTTGATGGATCAGCTAGCACCACCCACATGTATTAACTGGCTCATCTGATCTTGTAGCCCCCACCCAGGAACTGACTCAGTGTAAGAGGACAGCTTCAATTCCTTATGACTTCATCTGCTACCTAACCAATGAGAACACCTGGCTCACTGGCTTCCTCCCACCCATGAAGTTGTCCTTAAAAGGTCTGATCCCCAAATACTTGGAGAGACTGATTTGAGTAATAATAAAACTTCAGTCTCCTGCACAGTCCGCTCTGTGTGAATTATTCTTTCTCTACTGCAATTTCCCCTTCTTGTTAAATCGGCTCTGTCTAGGCAATGGGTAACCCATTGGGAGGTTACAAACTGAATATGGGAAGTTCATTATCTCACAATTCTGGAGGCTAGAAGTCCAACACCAAGGTGCCAGCAGAGTTGATTTCTTATGAGGCTTCTTTCCTTGGTGTGTAGGTGGCTGCCATCTTTCCTCTTATTCATGTGTTTTCTGTGAATGTCTGTGTCTTAATCCCTTCTTTTAAGGACACCAGCCATATTGGACTAGGACCAAACCCAATGACTATATTTAAACTTAATCACCTCCTTAAAGACTCTATCTTCTGGCCAGGTGAGGTGGCTCATGCCTACAGTCCCAGCACTTTGGGAGACCAAGATGGGCAGATCACTTGAGGCCAGAGGAGTTCAAGACCAGCCTGGCCAACATGGTGAAACCCCATCTGTACTAAAAATACAAAAATTAGTTGGGCATGGTAGTGCTCACCTGTAATCCCAGTTACTCAGGGGCTGAGGCATGAGAATCGCTTTAACCCAGGAGGCAGAGGTTGTGGTGAGCAGAGATCATGCACTGCACTCCAGCCTGGGCAATGCACCGAGACTCTGTCTCAAAAAAAATAAAATAAAATAAAATAAAGATTATCTTCAAATAAAGTCACCTTCTGAGGTAGTAGGGGTTAGGACTTCAACAAATGAAATGGTGGGGGGGCACAATTTAGCCAATAATAGTCACTAAATTTGATTCTGTTTTGTGTTAAAGATTCATTGACTTTAGCATAGAACCAAAACCACTGAATATGTGCACGACTCCATAGGGCACCATTCACATATAGTAAAATGTACACATTCTGGTCAGTCGTACAGTCCTTTTCCTAGAACAGATCTTAGAATTGCCACAGCCACTTTTCAGGCAAAATACTTTTTATTAATTTTATATAGCTATGACAATATAGATCTCTCAGTAAAGCTAATGATTGAGCTTTGTATAGTTCTTTTGTTAAAGCTAGTAATTAAGCTTTAATTTGCTGAATTATAAATGGATTGCATTTGTTTGCTAGAGGTCAATTCCTTCATACTGAAACAAAGTTATGAGAGCCAAAAAGATATATTTCACAAAATTGAATTGTTTTGATGCTTTGAAAGTAGATTTCAGGATTTTACCAAGCACCGTAATTCCAATAATATGTTTATCTTAAATTAATGATTAACGCAATTGAACAATACTGACATTTTAAAACCAGTATTATTTAAATTAATATGTCTGTGACTATCAACCTTTAGAAAGTGTTTCAGACACAGAACAGAATAAAAAACATGATGAACACTATAAAATTAAACAGTGTAATTCACATACATAGTATTTTACACAAATAGTATAAATATATTAATTTCACAAATAATGATTTCACAACAAATATGTTATTTTTGTTTTCATCCCAGAAAATGTAGAAAGTACAAAATGTTTAAAGATAGTGAATATTACAAATGATATTTGTGAAGACTCTGCATTCTATTATGTTCCCATGAAAAGTGAATTTTGTTCTATCAGACAATTAACTTGGCTGAACCCAAACTCCAATCTATACCTCCTTTTTGTTAGGCAGCAGCTGAAACATACTCCATTTTTTTTTTTCAGTTTCTAGTTGCTACGTTTACCTAAATCTCCTGTGTTCTCCCAAGCATTTATACATTGACAGATAACCACATAGTTGAGCACATTTCAAATGTAGATTTGGGGGCCTGTCATTTCTGTGACTTCATCCTTTCCAGAATTTCCCTCTGAGCTTTTTGTCTCCTCTTTTAGGCACAAACTCTATCCTCTGACCTCAAGCCAAGTATGCATGTGTAAATGTGTATATATGTGTATCAAAGTGATGGGCCAGCAACTGCAGGAAACCTCATCCAATTATCCAGCTTTGGAAGAGCAACTCTGGATGCCACCTTTCATCTTTTACTTTCAAATTTTCTAACCCTAAGAGTCAGAAACAATTAATATTTGGATACCACTGCTCCAAATAGAAACCACAAAAGAAGAAATGTAAAACTATTACTTTATATTGATAAGAAAAATTAAAAATGCATCACCCATGCATGATTTAAATAACATAAATTGAAGGAAAAGTAGAGCCTAGGTTTTACATATAAGACTCAGGTCGACGTTAGATGGCTTAAATAATCTCTGAAATCACTGTCACTTTCACTAACATAAAACTTCCAACTGGTATACATCTTTATCACTTAAAATGTTATTTCTTGGGATATCCAAAGCTATAGCCATCTTTAGCATTCATTCCACAACTCAGCTGAGTGTCACAAAACCATGTACAAAATCTATTGTACATATCATAGAGGCAATTGCAGATGAGATTTTGCAGTTTTACCATATCTTCTACTTATAATATATGTAAAATTTTCTCTAGGGGCAGGATGCTTTTAAACTGGGAAATGTTAGTAACATCTTAATTTATGTGGTTTGTTTTTCCCCCTGTGATCTTATTTGTCATATAGACCTGACCATATTTCTTTTTTTTCTGGTTCTAAAAAAGAATATCAGCATAGGTTTCTTGTATTTAAAAGTCACTATACTATACAGGCATACAGTGTGTACTGAACAAATAAGGGTAACTCCATCACATCAAGCATTTATTATTTATATGTACTCCGTAAATATGTACAACTATTACACTTAAATAATAATTTAAAATAAAAACTAAAAGAAAAATAAAATGCCACTATAATACAGTTTTGTATGGTAATCTTTCAGTGGAAAAAGTAAAGTATTATCAAATACAATTTTACTATTTTATTGCAGCACTGAAAATAAAACAAAATCAAATACGATTTCCACTCAGTTACTTAGAGTAGCATAGTTTCTTCTTTATGAATTTCCTTCCAGCTTAAAGCACAATCACAAACAGTTCGGACCACACAAATTATCTAGAGTGTCTTATTTGTCCTATTCTGCCTAGCATTGGCAATTACTCTCCTCTGGCAAGTAATTTTTAATGAATTTTCAATCTCAAGTGTTTATCTGAGTCTTAAAGAAGACATAAGTAAAACCAAGAAGAAATATATCAATCATGTCATTTAGAAATAATGAGAATGAAAAAGGTGCTTTAAGTGAAGTTTGTCTTTTTTCTTATACTGGGAGATAACTGATGAGTTTGAGAAAATAAGATGAACAAATTATTCTAGAAATACTTAGGTAGAATTTAAGGTGTGAAAAAACATTATTTTCCTCATTTTACTTCACCTCAGCCTAATCTTGTACAGCTCCACAAATCATTCTGCTGTATCTTGCCTCTTTTCTTGAGTGACTGTGGAAGACACTCAAGGATGGCTTATCCATCTCATTTCCAACCCTCTTGCCACGTTCCCTTCTGCATATTACAGGATAGAATCTAAATCTACCTTTTCTACTCTTTCCTATGGTTCATGTTCTACATGCAGCCAGCTTCTACCAAACGAAGGACCATATGTGATATTATGTAGGGGTAAGGGATCACTGAGAAGTGTCCCAGAGGTGATTCTTAAAGCTTTTGTACAGAAAGGCACACATTCCTCACACTTAATTTTATTAACCTATATTTTATTGACCAGAGCAAGTCACATACGTAGCCTTAATTTGTTGCATAAAATACACTTTCACCAAGGACAAGCAGCAAATATTGGAGAACGATGATATAGACATAGTACTTTAAAGAGGAGAATGGCATCATCTTATTTATGTCAGGGAATGGATTGCAGAAAGACAAGAATGGAAATCAGTTAGGAAATTATTTCAGAAGTCAATGCAAGATATGACCTTAGCTTCTGTAGGGCAGTTGGAGGTGGAGAGAATTTAATGCATTTTGGGAAATGTTTTGGTGGTAAAATCAGCGTGACTTGGTGATGCATTAGACGTGGAGGATCAAGGAAAGGGTTAATTCAAAGATGATTCCTAAATTATTACTTCACCAACTATGATCAACATTAACCCAAGAAAACACAGGATCCAGGAAATATAATTCACTTTCCCATTTCACTATGAAATGAAATGCTTTCCACAATTACCACAGAAAATGTGCCAGGAGAAGATGCAACTACATATGTCTTCAAAAGCATTAAGGAATATACCATACCTACGCTGTTTACAGTAACCAGGGCCAAACACATTTTACAAAGATATTATAATGCTGATAACAAAATTTAAGAAAGACCAAAATGGAAAAAAAAAAAAACTTAGGCTATAAATTTAACATAGATTACCTGAAAAAGTCTAAATTTATACTAGCCAATTAGACTCCAAAGAAACTTAAAATAATAATGTACAATGATTAGCGTCTAATTCAAAAATGTGATTTAAAATTTATAAAATCTCTAATATGATAATTACATAAGAGGGTCAAAGAGAGGATAAGTCATATCACCTCTTACCCCTTTCTTCTATGAGGAGGTTTACCAAAGGCTTTGTTCTAGTAATTTCTTCCCAAAAAGTTTGCCTAATAAAGCAGTTAGAATAGAACAATGAGATTCAACTACTTTTCACTCAAATGTTCCCAATTCAGGTCTCTAGTGAGTAATTTGTATCTCAGTGATCTTCAGTCTAATTGACTCTCAGTTTAATGGCACCCAAGCTTCTACACAAAGGATTAATTACCTTAGCATACTTCCACAGACAAGGCAATAGTGTTTTTGGATTGTTTCATTTAAAGTTTTTTCCTTCTTATTTATTGTCAATAGCAAATGAGAGAGCTGGAGATAAATACATATTGTAAACATATAAGGCAACAAATAACTACTTAAAACTAATTGAAGATTTTATTTATGCTATTTATTTATTTACATGCTCACTCATTCACATTTATTTCTGCATACACTCAACAAATATTTACAGTGTTCCTAATGTGTTCTAAACACCGGTAGGATTTGGAAGGAAAATTTCTGAGAAAAAGAATCTTATTATTCTAAAACTCTATATCTAAACATAGAAATGTATTTAAGGAAAAAAAGGCAAGGCTCAAGTTAGCTTAAAACAAATGTTCACAAAATACTATTAATAGATAGATAGATGAAGTGTGACAATGTAACCAAGTATGTGGTTGATAATGTATGCAAACCACATTAAGTTCAATATGGATAAGATTCAAAAACAGAGCAGAGAACTTGTTCAATTTGTCATTGTATCAGTGTAATCAGAAAACAATTGGTACATACTTAAATCATGATAATTCAGGAGGATTTAATAAAGGGATTAATTAAAAAGCTGTAAGGAAGATGAAGGGTAAGCTCAAGGTATACTGAAGCCTCTAATGCAATTAGGGACAGTGTGGTTGTTACCACTCCTAGGTCTAAGAGATACGGAAAGGAGGCTCTTAGAATAGTCTCAGAGAAAGGACTGCAGAGGGAGGCAAGACCAACAGCCTAAGACTAACAGAGACAAGATCAGGAAAAAAATACCCAGACTTCACATTCCTTTTTCCCTTCAACCTCCCACTCTCCTTGCTAGCCAGACCCAACTAGAAGCTAAAGCAAAAGTTGATGTAGTCACTACAAACCTATTCTTCCAAGGCAGAGGACTGAGTAGATCATGAAGGAAAAAGAAAATGGATGACAGCAACCAGTCATCTCAAGTACAATGCAAAATTGTAAAAAATTAAATGTATAACAAATACTATAATTATACTATCACAGTTATGAGCCATATCACACCGTTAAAAACCCAGTGTTTACATTTTAATAGACTAATAACTCTAATAAGCACAAATTAGCACCCCAGAAATTGTCTCAGAGGTTACTGAGGCTTTATTCAATGTCTATAGTGTATTTTTCCTTTCTCTCAGATTGGAGAATGTCTGCTGGTTTATTTTTTAAGTTTGCTGACTTATTGCCATTATTGCCATTCTGCTGTTAAGACTGCCCAACAATTTTTTTTATCACACATATTGAATTTTTCAGTTTTGAAATGTGTATGTTTTATTTTTATATATTTATATATTCCATCAGTTTGCTGAGATTTCTTACTCTTTTATTCATTATGAGGACTTTTTTTCTTCCTATTAAGCTCTTTTGACTGCTTTGCCAAAATTATTGCCATAAATTTTGTTATTGTTAAAATAATAAAAATGTTGGCATACTAGATAAAAAGTAAATTACCTACTTTTAAAAAAAATTTGAATGCATGGCTAATAGCATAATTTGGATATATTTCTGATTTTACTATTGTTTATTAAATAGAATAATTTAGATCACTTTTATTTAAAGTTAACAAAAGTAGCTTTTAAGGGAAGAGGATGGTTAGGAGAAGTGTATGTTCAAACTTCTGATAGAAGTGATGGAGAACAGATACTGTTCATGGAAGAGTTCGCTTTGAAAATAAAAGATTAATTGAATTGTGAAACATAACATAAAAAGTATGTTTTATCTTCAGATAGACTGGATTGCTTTTATTTAAAGTTAACAAAATAGCTTGTAGGGAAGAGGAAAGTTAGGAGAAAAGCATTTACAACCTTCTGATACACGAATTACATTTTTTAGAATGAGATACATTGGGTTATTTAGTAAATACATATAAAATGTATGTAAAAATAATGTTAAGTGATAAGGTACAAGAAAGTGAAAAAAATAAATGACAAAAATACCCACTGTATCTTTATACTGTAAAAGAAAGAATCCAAGCTAAATATCTAAATAGATATACTCATGCAAAATAATATTATACCAACATTTTCAAAAAGGTAATATGAATATAAAGACACATGAACAATTTGTATAAAATATGCAACAAAAAGCTGAAAAAGCAGGATATAAACTTGCTTCTACAGAATGGTTACAAATATGTAAATTTAAGTCTCAAGATGAATACAACCTGGAAGAAAAATTGAAAGAATTTTTTTTATTTGTTGGGAATACAGACTGTGGCTAAAATTGTGTCCCTTTTTTAGGGTTCTATAAATATTATAAGGTTGATTGTATAATCAAAACATCTATTTTAACCTACTTTTGGTTTTTGTTTAAAAATAAAACCATTTTAGCTAAATAAAATCTATTAAGCTCTAGACTGTTATATTCAAACCTCAAATTTAACTGAGAATTATAGTCGTAGCAGAAATTTCATTTTCGAAACTGATGATATCTACTTTATTTGAAGAATTCAGTATTGCTGTAGAGACCTGCCAAATGCAACTTGAAGTAATCCAAGAACCAAAAATAGCATTCGTTATTTATCTCTTTATTCATCTATTTGCTTATGGAACAACTACTCATTATGTTTTTAGTTTGTGCCAAGTACTGAGATGTGTATTGGAATGAGTAAAACATATTCCCTCCCCTCAAGATCGTAGAATACTGGAACAGGCAGACTTACAAAGAGAAACAAACACAAACCTTTAGTAGAGATTTGCTTCATATATTATTAACACGCAGATGATATCTCTAGTTGGCCTAGAAAGACATGATGGAGAACAGATGCTGTTCATGGAAGAATTCACTTTGAAAATAAAGGATTAATTGACTTCTGAAGGATGACATAACAAGTGTCAAACATGGAAAGTGGGAAAGCAGCAGGTAGTCAATTTCTTAGTCAGAATTAACATTTGAAAAAACTGAAGGCTGGGGCCAGGATGTAGCCTGTAAGCACTGGAGCATAAGTACACCTATAGAGTGACATGCTATAAAACTGGAAACATAGGCAGGAAAGTGAATCATGAAAAATCCTGTATGGCATTAATATTAAACCTTTAAACTTTATAGATTGTTTACCATTATACATATATTTAAAATTATATTCAACAGTATTACATTCTATAATAAAAACACCTTCTTCATAACATGATTAAATGAAACAATTGGGATAATCTCAGTTCAATCATATTCAAATAGGACAAATTCTAAAATATCTCTATAATTTAACAAATCTAATGTTTAGTTTTTAAATTAATCTATGTTATGCAGTTCAATGTCTTAAATTTATTCATTAAAATGATGGCAACATTTAAAAATATTTAACACTGCAAGACATGTTATCAAACCATTCCAGATGGAAAATAATAATAATTTTATGTACTACAAATGGGAAAATGCTAATAAAAGCAATTGAATTTCTATGAGCCAAATCATCAATAAAATCCTGCAAGCGAGTTATATTTGAATATATTATTTTAATTATGCTGATTATCTGAGATTTGTAGCTATTCCCTAACAAAAAGAACAATATGTATGACATCCTTCAATAATTATAAAAATACTACTAATTATTGCTAACGTTTATTAAATGGTTCCTGTTGCTAGGCCTAATACTAAGCATGTATTTCTCATCTCATTCTCACAATAACCATGTGAGATAGACACTATCACTATCTATGTTTTAAAGGGAAAAAATCTGAGACTTAGAAGGTCTGGATAGCTCTCCAAAGTATCTTAGCTAAGAGTTAGAGCTATGATTTAAACTCAAGTCTCTGTTTTCAGAGGCTAAGATAAGGAGACACTTGGGATCAGCTCACTTTATTTCTGTGGTGACCTATTTCAGGTTTTCTAAAATAAAGTAATTTACTAAGCTGGGAAAAATAAAAAGCTAGCAGTGAATTTTTTTCATGGGAAATAATTTCTTTTTCCCCCTTAACAAATCAATTTTTACTCTGCAACATGAAAATTTATCAGATTTGTCATGGTATGCCTAACTGTGGGCTGTTATTAACAAACGTAAAATTATCAGGACAGAGTGTTTGACTTGATAACCTGAAGTGATCAAAATTCCACAGGTTAATTTTTATGGTGCCTACATTGGTATTCCCATTTGTTAGTTCTCAGTGAGTTGACACTAATTCCAGCAAAGGAAAATAAAGAAATTCTTACAGCTACTGTTTGTTTCCCTGGAACATTATTGCCTTTGGTCACATTACTTTACATGATGAAGTATCTACAGATATTTATCTATATACAATTAACGTTCCATAATTTTTTTATTCAAAGCAATTTTAATTACAAATTAAAGAATGCCTTCAATGAAGAGATGGATTAATTGCCTATTCTGACTTGCTTTTAGAATCAAAATAGTTCTTTTGTATTAATAAACAGAAGAAAGTTGCTTCCTCAACATAGCTTACTTCTTTGTAGATACAGATTCAATACTTCTCACAACAATAAAAAAAAATTAAAGTTTTAAAACCATAAAAATGTATAGAAGGTCCTAAGAATAGGAAGATGATACATACCTGGGAGATTAAAAAAAAAACTAAACCCCACCTACTCATATTGAACCAATGAAACCAGGCTGTAGAAATATATTTTTCTTGTCACAGAGCCTAATGTAAACATTTCCTTTGACAAAATCATATAGAGATGGCTATTGATTATTTCTCTCCAATAGCAGAATTTAGAATTTTTTAAAGTGAATTTTCCTTCTGCCATTTGCTTCTTTTACAGATTGTCATTGTTATACTTTGTTTGCTTATTGTGCATAAAGACTAGATGCATAGTTTACAATGTATCTGCAACACTAATAAAAAGTAAAAAAGTTATACTTTGGGAAAATTATTTTAATGCTCACCAAATATGTGTTGGTGAGTGCATAAACTTTAAATGTTCTGGGACCATTAATAATACATTTCAGAAAATAATCAGAAATAAAAACCAAAATAAACATTAAGTTTGGGAATAAAAGTTACAGTCAGAAAATGGAAGAGATTATAAACTATCAGTTTTCCTTTCCTCTTCATCCATCCCATATCCTATGAGATATCACTTCAAAGCAGTCTTGTCAGCACCCTTAACTCTCTTGTCACATACCCTGTATACATAACCAATGAACACCTCAGCCACTCTTCGACTTGACTTTACAATTCTGGTCACTGTCATAGAAATTCACACAATTGTTTGGATAGGTGTTTCTTTACATTTATGGTATTAAATCCATGACACTTCAGCTAAATCCTTTGATACTTCTTGAAAATTTTCCTTTTTTCTTGACTGCACCTAGTAATTTCCAACCACCATTTTCCTCAGTGGTATCGTCAAACTTCCCATACTTTCTTCAAACTGCTTCTCTAGTTCCTTACATGCTCAGAATGTCCTGGCCGCTTGTTAAACTAATATTTGAGTACATTCTGTGCAATGTCCTATTTTCTTGCCAACAAAACTATTTGCAGCACCGTATCTTTGAATATTTTCCCTCATTTCATTACTTTTTCCAGGCCTGTGAATACCAATGGCAGCATGTCTTTCTGGATTTGGACATTCGTACTTAGAATATGCTACTGCTAGAAGAGTTGGGTTGTCCTGTGAAGTCCTGTGGGAGGCGAGAAATGATTCACCATTGTGCTGCCACTACAAAACAAAACAAACCAGAAGGAAACATAGTGTCAAGAGGCCCTATCATCCTTTCCCTACCTATAACTCCCTTTTCTCTGTAACAGAGATCTTAGCATTTCCTGAAAATGTACATGACCTCCCAAGATTTTATACCAGAACTGCAGAGATGAAAGCCTCAACTCCAGTATGACAAGTGCCACATGGGTAAAACAGGCTCAGATCTAAAGAGGTTTTGTTTTGGTTTGGTTTTGGTTTTTATTCCACCCTGGTTTGAACTTATGGCCCCAAGGCACGGGGTAGGGATACAAGTGAGTATCCCTAAAAACTATAAATTCAAGTAATGGATTCTGAACAATAGTAATGAATTCTGAACACCCTCCAGGGTAACTAGGGAACTGATATGTGGAAAAGGAATGAGATTGGTCCATGGGCAATATAGCGTAGAACCACTATCATCTAGTGGAAAAAACTGGATTAAAGAAAATAAATTGCTGCTGAAGAATTTGAAAGTTCTGTGCAGTGAGGCAGAAATTAGCAGTAAAGAAACAGTGAGAAAATCACATGCATAAAGCCAATGTTAAAAGGTGCTGGAAATAAGGCAATGGAAAGAGCCTGGTGATATTTTCTGTGGCGCTGGACATAAGCACAGGTGATTTTTAATGGGGTCTTATGACTTCACTCTTACAGGAAAATAGACATTGTTTGATTTACTTGAAAGTAACCAACTTAATTGCTTCCTTTCTTTTACATTTTGAATTCTTGAAGATGGCTCAGATATGTCAGGCTTTCGATTATGTAAGTGTTCTTTCTGATATAAAGAGAGATTGAGAGATGGCCAGAGTCCTACTCCTGAGTCACCTTTCTGCTGCCACTGCAAGGCTCACCCATAATGCAAGAATATTCTCCTCCCAAATCAATAAAGTTTATTACTACAGGTATTAGGTATCATCCCTTGTCTAGATTTTCTAACCATGATAAGTTGGATTGGACTATTTGAGTTATGAAACAGATTTTGTCTCTCTGGCCTATGACCTATGTTTATTAAGTCAACAAATACTTATCGAGTACTTATAAAGTATTTATAAGGTACAGAAAGTACCCTACTTATGATGGTTCAACTTATTATTTTTCAACTTTATGATGGTATAAAATCTATGTGTTCAGTAGAAGCCATACTTCAGTACTCAATGAATTACATCAGATATTCAACACTTTAGTATAAAATAGGCTTTGTGTTGGGCGATTTTACCCAACTGCAGGCTAATGTAAGTGTTCCAAGCAAGTTTAACATAGCTTAGGATAAGCTATGATGTTTGATAGGTTAGATGCATTAAATGAATTTTTGACTTATAATATTTTTAACTTACCATGGATTTATTGGAACATAAGTAGAAGAACATCTGTAGTTATAAAGTACATGTAAAGTACTTGTGAGTGCTTATAAAGAAGCCATACACAATCCCTGACTTCATTAAGTTCATGGATGTCTTAGTTGGCTTGGACAGTCATAACAATATACTGTAGACTGAGTAGTTTAAACAACAGAAATTTATTTTCTCATATTTCTGTAGGTTGGAAGTTCGAGATGAGGGTGCCAGCATGGCTGATTTTTGATGAATGCTCTGTTTCTGATTTGCTGATGGTGGAAAGAAGAGGAGAGAACAAATAAAGACTCTTTTATCTCTTAAGTGCACTAATCTCATCATGAGGACCTTACCCTTATGACATCATCTAAACCTAATGGTCTCCCAAAGGCCCCATCTCTAAATACCACCTCACTGGGGATTAGGGCACCAGCATATGATTTTTGGGGTGGGGAGTGACATAATTCAGTTCATAGCAACAGACAAGCAGAGGATAGAAATAGTTAATTGGTAAGATGGATTAGCTAACTCCTTCTCATTCTAGAACAGTAGGACCAGAATGAAAATAGAGGAGCAGCTGCTGAGGAGCAGCTTAGTGACAGTTTCAGTGATGCCGAGTTCTTAAGTGTGAAAAGAAACAACCATATGCTCTTAAAGTCAGTAAGTGAGGGCTGGGGGATAGGAATTAGTAGGGGAAATATTCTTTCCCAAATGTACAATTAAACTGTATGGTTTCCAATGATAATTGTCAGTAGTTTCCATATGATATGCTTACCACATATTTGATATAATATGAAAATATGTCTCCCTGTAGGTAACTAAGTGGTAGCACAATTGATCTAGAATTGTAGGATCCAGGAAGATTAGAGTCCTCTGTTTTCAGGAACTGTGAATAGTGAAAGAAGGGAATGTCAGTCTTCACCCAAATGAAACCCAAAGAATATATTTCCTTTCCAGAAAATAGGAGGACACAAACAAACAAAAAGAAGCCTATTCCCATAGAAGATATAGTTTTTTTTTCCTAAGAGAGGGAATTGGGTTGATACCTGAGAAAGTGGTATAATGGAAAAGGAGAGGGGCACTCAAAGAAGAAAACTCAGATCAGAAGTAGAAAGAGTCTGTACAGAGGATCCTATTTGTTATAGCTGAGTCTGGAAGCTCTTTCCTTTGAGATTTTATGTATTTGTTTTCCCAGCCTCTATTCCCACTTCTCTGATAACAGCATGCTGATTTTTTAAAGAGAAACACACTATCCAATTGTTAGATAGTTCCCCTGCTGGAGTTATTTACATCCTCTGGCTCTATGGAGTAAGGGGAGGCAAAGAGGGAGATGCATAAATTCACTAAAATGCCAATCTTTATTCTTCTGTACATGTCCAACCTGTCGGGTTATCTATGTAGAGAAATAGATTGTCTCCATGTAATGGAGAATTGAGTTCAGAGTAGTAAACGGATGGACAGGTGTGTTCTATCCAATTTTCCCTTCAGGGCCTTGCAAAGAAACTGGATAAGAGAGCAGACAACTTTTGGTGGATAATACAACATCCTTGGTGATTACTGGCATCCATGATCCAGGAAGTCCCCTGGAAAATTCAGGTAGAAAGAATCATGTCTAAGGTTTCTTTATTTTTCTATGAGTGAAAACCCCCTTTAGGAAGATAAAGGGAATGAACTGATAAAACACCGATAAAAAGAAAATGATTTTAAAAGTGATTAAGATTAATGTGAAAACTGCAGGAAGCATGGCTCACAGTTGGGTTCAGAGCTCATTTGGATTCAACATTGCTTTCAGGTTATTCTGACACTCATGCTTTCAAACTCACAGGTGAGCCTTTTCTACTCACATCATGTCTTCATGTTCCTGGGCTCTTTTTGTCTAAGAATTTTAAACAGAAGCAAAGAAAAAGAGTACAGGTTAACACTCCACTTGTTGAGAATATCACTGCTAAACTGCTTACTGAATACTTTGGTTATGCATGCATTATGAGAGTCACAGGTTTGTAGAAAAAGAGAAAAATCAAGCCTTGCTTGACCATGAGAAAAGCCACTGGAAAGAGGAAGAATCAAAATCTGAGGACTCTGGGTTCTTATGAGCAGGTTCAGGCCAGACCAAGAACAGGGCTAACTCATAGACCCAGTCCTTCCTTCTCTGATGATAGCCCCAAGTTCTTTCTTTTCAATATTTTTATATTTGTCATTTTAGTTTAGTTTTGTTTTATACTATTTTACTTTCCTGTTGTGTTGTCTTTTAAATAAATGACCACTGTTTACAAGAAAAGTGGGAGGAGAGTTAGCCAAACCAGAAACATCTATCTCCTGAAGACATGCTTTTTTAGCTATCTATTGAATCATCTCAGTCCTTTTTCTTTTTTTTTCCTTCACCTGGATTTTATAGTACTGAATTTATTATTAAAAATACAAAGTTCTTAGCATTGTCAACAAACAGACATTCTTAAAACTATTTTAAGAGTTTGAAGTTTCTCAAGAGGATACATATGAATTTATAAGCATTCTGAAATCATGATCCAAATCAATCCACTTGGGGGAAAGGTTTACTTTAAAAAAAAAAAAAAGTAACTGAAATTTGAGTTGTCTGTCCCCACAGTAGCTAGAATTTCTAAATAAGTCAGTAGGAATTCGTCATGCATTTTTCAACAGTTCTGTATGTTTTTCCTTCTTTTGTAGGCAAACATTTTTCAATTCTGTCAATCTTTTGTGGTGAGAGATGGCTTATTTCATAGATAAATTGTTATTATAACTCACAGTGGAATTCAAAATAATCCAAAACACAGTAGTAGGACAATCCCCTGGAGAACATGGGAGCCAAATAAATCACATTTTGTAGCATTACTCACCTCACCATAGGAAAAATTCTATCCAGGTAAAATATCAGAGGCATTCATGAGGAAGGAAATAATTCAAAAAAGCAAGATGGGAACTAAGAAAAGTGGATAAAAGAGAAGAACAGGATGCCTTGGGTTGACAATATGGTGTCCTCAAGGAAATCAAATTGAGAAAAAATATAGTTTCTCCGGGGTAGTTACATTATAAACCTTGACAAAATGGATTACATCACAGATATTCAAAATCACCTTAAAAAGGACATACAAGGAGCAAGCAGAGAAATATGATACTGGAGAAGACCATTCTCCCAGGTGACAGAGAATACAAGGTTCATCCCAAAGGATAAGAACATGGCTGCAAAAGGAACCACTTCCAGAGGAGTCAAGGAAGGTATGTCCTGAGAAGTTTGCATTGACCTTGCTAATTTGCCACTGCTGTTGTAACAGCTTTAATTATACGGGGTTCTTAGAATTCAGGCAAACTTTTTTCTTTCCTGTAATCTCCCTGAAGGATCTTAAAGCAATTGGCTTTAAAAGATGAAATATATATTGTTTTACATTTGCCTTCCCCAAATAATTGATTTTGAATATTATGTTTTAAACAAAATGCCTCCAGGACATAGACTTTTTTACAGCACCTTATATAAACAAGGCAGGAGAAGTTAGAGGATGTGTACCTGCACACACACACACACACACACACACGCACACACACACGGATATTAGAAAGACAGAAAGAATGTGCTCAATTGAGAAACAGGAATCTAAATTTTTAAGAAGTAGCTTGAGACTACATTAAAAATGAACAAATTTTTCTTTCACTTTGAGAATGTCAAGATATAGCAAAGCATAAAAAGAAATGCAGGTAAATCCAAAGATGGAAATGAGAAGATAGAAAATTGTAGAAATTCATGCTGAACAGACTTTTTCCCTGTGAAGTATGAGACAAAGGGTCTGTTACAATGAGGGAATTATATTTGGAGCCAAACAGAAACATACAGTAGTATTGGTTTGTTAACCTACATTGTGTACTGCTTTTTGCCATTTAAATTTCCACACAACTCTCCACTTTTGACTTTGAGCTCAGCAATGTGAGTTGCTTTGGTCAAAGGATTTTAGATGCGCTGCAAGCAGATATGTAGAAATCATTTGCATTATTAGACATCATTCTTTGATCCTCTGCCATAGCTGTGAGAGGAATTCTCCAGCTGGCCTACTTGACCAAGAATGAGAGAACTTGTGGAACCAACCTAGACCCATAGATATCAAACATAAAGTGGAGTCACCCCACCTGAAGCAAATATCTGTGAGAATAAATTGTTGTTTAAAGTCACCAAATTTTGAGGTGGTTTCTTACACAACATTACTGAAGCAGTATGACCTGATGCATGTGTCAAAGATCTAGTCACATTTGTAGAATACACAGGTTTAATAGCGACAACATATAAGTTATACCATTTTCTCCAATAGAGTTTGAGACTCTAGGTAGAGATACAGAACTCGGCATTATTGAATTGACAAAAATGTCCAATTATAAAAAGATAAAGCAATTGCAGATAATGGCAGAAACTGAAGTGATATATGAACAAAATTAAGATTGATATGAAGGGAATAAATCCAAGAGAGTCCTGACGGCACCACTACCACCAGAACTTTTTTTTTTTTTTTTTTTTTGAGACGGAGTCTCCCTCTGTCGCCCCGGCTGGAGTGCAGTGGCACGATCTCGGCTCACTACAAGCTCTGACTCCTGGGTTCACGCCATTCTCCTGCCTCAGCCTCCCGAGTAGCTGGGACTACAGGCGCCCGCCAACACGCCCAGCTAATTTTTTGTATTTTTAGTAGAGACAGGGTTTCACCGTGTTAGCCAGGATGGTCTCGATCTCCTGACCTTGTAATCCGCCCACCTTGGCCTCCCAAAGTGCTGGGATTACAGGCGTGAGCCACCGCACCCGGCCCACTACCACCAGAACTTTTTAAGACACCAGAGTTCTTGGCGTGAACAGATGTAGAGAATAAAGAAATGAGATTATTGTGAGGATATAATATCAAGTTAAGGGCATGAATTATGAGAAAATAAAATTCATGATGTGGAAATATACTGAGATGACAAGTTTTAAAGCGTAGTCACAAGAATGATGGAGTTGTTAATTGTTGGTGTTGTGAGAAAATGGAAAGTCTAAGTGATAAGATGTGTTAGCACATACCTTTTTGACTATTCCTGTGTAATTATAGAAGTTAGGTATAATGGAACCAGGGAATTAAGGTTCAAAACTTTTGCTTTTTGAAGGACTCAACAGGACGTCAATGAGAGGTAGTGCTACCTTTCATTAGAATAAAAATTGCTACCGTCAGAAAGAATCTAATAACAAGGGAGTTTCTGTCACTTGCATGGAAAAAGCCTAACCTAAGAGCAACCTGAAGAAAGAGTGATTATACCATATTAATTTAATGGTATAATTTTTCCTTAGTTTTTAAATTTTTAAATCTTGTTTTACTTACCTTGCAGCTCTAGGTCAAAGGATTGAATTTAATTTAAGATCCTAATGGACATGCAGTAAAATGGCATAACATAAATAAATAGCTGGACTTATTTCCACAAACTAAACCTATCTGTGAAACCAGCATTCAAATTCAGAAAAAGAACAACTGCCACAGAAACCCTATCACACTCCTTTCTAGTCCTTATCTCCCCCAGAAGAGGCCCACTAGCCTGATTTACAACAATTTTGATTTGTTTTCTCCCCCAACACACACTTTAGGTAAATGAGATAATACAACGTGTATTATTTTGTGTCACACTTTACTAACTCGACATTATGTTTTTATTTTTATTGTTTTTTCAAGTTTTATTTTAGATTCAGGGCTACCTGTGCAGGTCTGTTACATGGGTAAATTCCAAGTCACTGAGGTTTGGTGTGCAAATGATTTCATCACCCAGGTAGTGAACATAGTACCTGGTAGGTAGTTTTTCGATTCTCGCTCTACTCCCCCAAGCAGGCCTCAGTATTGTTCCCAGGTTTGTGTCTAATGTGTTCTCAATGTTTACCTCCCACTTACATGTGAGAACATGCAGTATTTGGTTTTCTGCTACTGTGTTGTTTAGGATAATGGTCTCTAGACCTAACAGATACCTACAAAATACTCCACCCAACACAACACAAAATACATTTTTCTCACCTGCACACCAGTACATACTCTAAGATCAACCACATGACATGCTCAGCCATTAAGCAATTCTCCAACAGATATTTTGTTTTTGAAGTTCACTGATTTTTTTTTTTTTTTTTGAGACAGAGTCTTACTCTGTCGCCCAAGCTGGAGTGCAGTAGCCAATCTTGGCTCACTGCAACCTCTGCCTCCTGGGTTCAAGCAATTCTCCTGCCTCAGCCTCTTAAGTAGCTGGGATTACAGGTGGGCGCCACCACACCCAGCTAATTTTTGTATTTTTATTAGAGACAGGGTTTCACCATGTTGGTCAGGCTGGTCTAGAACTCCTGACCTCGTGATCTGCCCACATTGGCCTCACAAGTGCTGGGATTACAGGTGTGAGCCACCGCGCCTGGCCTGTTTTTTAAAATTTATTTTTAATTGACAAATAATTTTATATATGGGGTACAATGTGATGAATAGATTGTAGAAAGATAGAGTCAAGGTAATTAATAAATCTATTACCTCACCAACTTAGCATTTTTTGTTGTGAGGACATTGAAAATGTATTATTTTAGAAATTTTGAGATATGTAACTCACTATTATTAACTATGGCCACCATATGGTGCAAAAGATCACCGAAGCTGATTCCTCTAGTCTAACTGAAACTTTGTACACTTTGATTAACATCTCCTTTTTTTTTTTTTTATCTTTTTTTCCCCCTTTCCTATCCTAGCCTCGGATAAATACTTTTCTAGTTTCTGTTTGGATGAGAATAACTGTTTTAGATACTAATATAAGTGAGATCATACCATACTTGTCTTTCTGCGCCTGGTTTATTTTACTTAGCATAATGTCCTCCAATTTCAATTGTGTTGTCACAGAAGACAAAATTTCCTTCTTTTTAGAGGCTGTATAGTATTCCATTCAGTATACATACCACATTATTGTCATCCATCTGTTGATGGACACTTAAATTGCTTCCATCTCTTGGCTATTGTTGATAATGCTAAAATGAACATGTGAAGTGAATGCAGCTATCCTTTTGACATACCAATTTCAGTTCTTTTGGATATTTACCCCAGAAGTATGTTTGCTGGATCATATGCTAATTTTAGTTTTAGTTTTTAATAAATTTCCATACTATTTTCCAAATTCACTATATTAATTTACATTTCCACCAACAGTGTACAGATATAAAAGAAAATGTTCAATATCTCTAATCATCAGGGAAATGTAAATTAAAGCCACAATTAGATATCAGCCACACCTGTTAGAATGGCTATTAACAAAAAGATGAATGATAGTACATTTCTATATAATCATAGAAGTCAGATGTAATGGGAACTAGAAATTGAGGCTCATAATTTTTACTATTGAGGTATTTGACAGGGAGTCAATAAAAGACAGTGTTACCTTTTATTAGAGTGGATATAGAGAAAAGGGAACCTTAACTGTGGATTTTTTAAGATTATTTATTCTTATTTTGGCATAATTTCCCTGATTTGAACATATCATTATTTATTATCTGTCCATTCTACAATTGATGGGCTTTGGGTAGTTTCCAGCTTGAATCTATTTTAGACAATGCTGCTACAAACATTCTAGTGATTATCTTTTGGTAAACACCCATACACATTTTTGTTGGATATACAATGTCCGGATCACAAGTTAAGAATATATTCAAATTTTGTAGATTCTGTCAAATAGTTTCCAAAATGGTCCTACTAGTACATACTCTCTCACCACCAGGGTATGACAATCTGTTCATTTGCAGCTTAGATAACACTTCGTATTTTCTCTTTTCTATTTTAACAATTGTGATAAGCGTGCAATATATCATTTTGTGGTTTTGATTTGTATTGTTCTGATATAACAACGAAGGTGTTGCAGAATCTCAGCTACAGAAAACAAATAATAGATGTTATATTCTTGGGTAAGATGGGGAAATTTCAGAGGAAGGGTAAAACAGATTATGGGAGACTTAACACCCTCAACAATATCAGCAAGTAAGTGGGAAGGGAGTGTGGGTATTACGAGAGAATATTTTTGGAGAGCTCTTAGCTCTCCATAGAGGGATTATTAACCCCTCACACTAACATCATGTCAAACTTGGGCAAAAGATTCTGACAGGACAAGTCATAGAGTTTTTACAATCTCTTGTATTTTGTGGGGAGACACAGTAAACTGGTGTGTAACTATGGCATGAAAAATCTTAAATATGATGGGTAGGCAGAATAACTTTGATAGCTGACTTACAAAGAAAATAGTAGAACTGTTCTCCCTAATAATGTATCAGTATTGGTTCATTAATTGTGACAAATATAGCATACTAAGTAAAAAGTTAATAATAGGAAAGAATGGTAAAATTTTGTACTAGTTTGCAATAATTTTGTAAAAATCATATTGTTCTAAAATAAAAAGTTTACATAAATAAAACAATGAATGAAAACGAAATGAAATGAAAACAAAACATCAAGTATTTTTTTCCATAACACTGATATGGGCCTTATGTGAAAAATCAACTATAGTGTTATGTTGGGTTTCATCTCCCAAAGAAGTGGGAGTATTCCCAGGTATCTAAGGAATGAGGAAAGACCCAGCCACTCCCAGAATAGAGATGCATCTCTCCATATTTTTATATGTTTTAGTTTATCTCTTTTAGTCTTACTTAATCACTCTACATTGTAAATATATACCAAAACATCATATTGCATCTAATAACTGTATCTATTATGTCAGTTAACATAAAATTTTTAAAAATATTAATAAATATTTGTTGATTGAAGAAAAGAACAATTAACCTATCACATTAACAAGCTAAAATAGAAAAATTTTAATATCTTACTAATATATGAAGAAAAAGCATTTGGCAAAATCCAAAACCAACTTGTGACAAAGCTGCTCAGTAAACTAGGAAGAGAGGACAACATTTTAAACTTGATAATGAATATCTCTAACAAACCTACTTGGGTTAGATTGGAAATTTGCAGAAGAGACCTCTGCCATCTCTTGGTCATGCAGTACAGTGGTTTAGATAGAAGTTGGAACTGTTCTCAGAACTCTGGCAGCAACAGTAGTTATAAGGTAACTGTAGAATTTGCTTTTCATTTG
The DNA here is from genome assembly GCF_000001405.40 of Homo sapiens. Classification (NCBI taxonomy): domain Eukaryota; kingdom Metazoa; phylum Chordata; class Mammalia; order Primates; family Hominidae; genus Homo; species Homo sapiens. Next base: position 102,195,928 of record NC_000009.12, on the reverse strand, counting down.
GGATGGGATGTGGGAATAGAGTGAGATATGGATACTGATTATTTCTGTGGGGTATCAGAGTTACACGTGAATTTGTGAATGAGAAGATTTAAGGAAGGAGATATAAATATGAATCACAGACCTTAGTCTAAAGAGTTCCATTTGAAGAGAGATTCCCATACAAATGTTCTCTGAACTAAAGAGGCTGCATTTTCAGAAAATTTGGCAGAATGGTAATAGCCTCAGAACTTTATACAACTTGGCGTTTGGTAGAATTTGTAACTCCTCTTTAAGATCACTTATAGATTATTCAATCATAGATTATTCTCATTTGAAGGTAAGTTGAAGATTAGTTTGTATTGCCCAATTTAAAGTGAGGAAACAGCCAAGAGAAGTTAAAAGACAGCCAAAGTCACAGATCTCTTTACATTCTTTCGAATAATGTGTCCTTTTAGTGACTGAGATGTTTCTATTATGAAATCTGATTTTGATGTATCAAATATTTTATTTTATAGATATCAAAGTATAACATAATTTAGTCTATTAATTAACATAATATATGTGTGTTTAAATAAAATACAAATATGACAATCAAGTAGCAAGTATGACTTCTGGACTAAGACTACTCTTATATCAATGCCTTCTCTTCAATATGTACTCCCATCTCCCTTTCTCGTTGCCTCATACTTCTATGCAACAAAAAATCAGCCCTTCCTTTATCATTTTCAGTGTTTTCAACTTGAGAGTTTTATGAGCATTTTGGTTATTTGTGTATTTTTTGTGCTACTGATGCTAAAAAGCTTCTCATGTTGTTATATATGTCCTGATCACCATGTATTTTGTCTCTGAGAGTTTTGCTTGATAATTTAACTATAATGGAACATGAGCACAAGTGGTATAATGAATGCGGACAGGGCAGACTGACAAAGTAATGAGTAAAACATTTATTTTCCAAAAACAAGCAGTACAATTTTGGTAAATAAGTATGCCGAATCCCAGTCTTTGGAACACACACTCCACAAACACACTTTACATCAAATACAAATATACTTACACACACTTTTAAATAAATGCAGTTGCAGTCTAAAACTAACTGTACAAAGTAGCATTACCTTCAGGATGTATTAATTGGCATATAATATACAGAAAAAATGGTATAGCAAACCCACTGTAATTTGCATAAATTAGACTACATCTACCATAATCACTTCTGTGAATAAAATTTTTGATTACCAGGATAATTAAAAGAAGTGGGATAAGTTCCTTTCATCCTAAAATGAAACAAAACAAGGTAACAACTAAACGGAGGATTTAGTAGCTCTTTCCACAGATTCGAAGAAATATCAAAGAAGAGATTAGACTTACCTATTAGGGTGGAAAATCTAGAAGCTGAACTAATAAGTACAAGTTACTGTCATGGCAACACTGAATTTTCTTACACGTTGTTTAGCCACAGAGTGAGATTTTTTGTAAAATAATAAATTCTTTGTGAATGAGAGTGTACAACGGGGATGGTGTTTTTTTGCTGCAAATGTCATTTAAAAGGATATCTGTAATTGGAGGAAGATTATTTGTAGGGCAATCCCTTATAACTCTAGGCTTTTGTGGTAGACACTTATATTCGAGATTCTACTATATGCAAAATCTTTGTATGCATACAGTAATATATTTAAAATTACTAAGCCTCATTGCATTTCATTAATAAATGGATTCGTTTTTGCTGACACATTGAAGATTACGAATATAATGTTTGAGAGGCCTGTATCTTCACAAATTTTGTTAACTATCCAAAGAGTATGCATTAGCTGGTATTTCATTTTTTCAAAAATTTTCATTGTGGTAAAAGATATAACATAAAATTTAGCATTTAACCATATTAAGTGTACAGTTTTGTGTTCTGTGTATAAAAGTTTGTGCATATTTTGGAACACGCTTTATGCATTTCAGTATTGAGTGATATATCCAGAACAGATTAAAAGTTACATGGAATCTGAAAAAAAAAATCCCCAATTTTTTTTGTATTTATGGATTATATTTTACATTAGAACACAGGAAAATACTACATGTTAAAGTTTTAAAGCAGCTTCAAGAGTTACCTAATTTATTACAGAAATGGAACTTAAAGTTAGGTAGAACTATTTTTGTTCCAAAATATAAGAAATATTTAGAGAAACTCTAAATCTTTTAAAGTAAATTACTGACATGGTCCCTATATTCAGGAAAATTACAAACTAAGAAGAAAGTGTATGTAGAGATCAATATAGGTAAGAACGAAAGCAGAAGGCTCACAAATATATATGATCTAACTCGTTTCATTTCAAAGCACATCCTAAATGCAATTATTTTTAATTCACCATATTTATCAACAGAACAAACACACTAATGTGTGTTGTTTATCACCAGAAAACAAATAGTTTTATCATTAAAACTACTGAGGTAGTAACACAGCGGTTAACCTATCTTGTGTTTACATAACAGAACTATTCCTTTATACATTTTCACATCAGATTATCATAGCAATTCTATGAAAGGTAATATTAATCCATCTGTTGAGATGAGAAAACTCATAACTAAGGAGATTATAAATTAACTTATCCAGCTATAAAAAGTTAGCACCTGGATTCAAATCAATTCAAGAGTGTTTACTATCTTGCAAGCTGATGAACACTGTATATGCTCTCTTTCCCATATTCCAGTTAGGGTCACTATGCATTTTGGTTTGCCTATGACAATCTCTTTAACATCTGTCATTCCTGAGTAATTATAAATAGAGCCACCTTTCACTTCCAAGATGTTCTGCTTTAGATGATAAATTATGTGGTCATTTAATTATACTCCATATTGCTGGAATCAAGCTATTTCTACTTCAAAGTTTGAAACAGTATGTAGATGTGTATGTGTGTGTGTGTGTGTGTGTGTGCTGCATTTGTGTATGTGTGTCTGTGAGTGTGTAGTCTGCTAAGTTCAGGTAAGGGATTGTAACATGACAAGTCATTTACAGATGTGATGTTGTATTCCTCATTTTCAAGAAATCTAATTAATAAAACATAAAATAGAAAGTATGTAATTATATGGTGACTCTAGATTGCAAGTATAATTGAATTACAAGAAAAATTTAGTCATTTGACTATAAAAGATGCCCTTAATGGAATTTATAAATATTCTTTCACAAAAGGTAGGTTAACGTTCATATGCCAATCAAGAGCATTTTACATTCACTAATATGAGGCCTACTGAAGATTGCTCATTCAAAAAATAATAAAGATTTTTCTCCTTAATGTGATACTCTAATGTCAGGTTACTTCATATAGAATGTTTTTTCTTTTTGATTTTATGGATAGAAGGATAAAAATATAAATTGAAAATAATTTAATTTACTGTATAGAATCAACTTTATAAAATGCCCCACTCTCAAATATTTTAACAAAAATATTAAATAAAAATATACAAAACTTAGTTTATACATGTGCTTAACATATTTCTATAATATTCAAAATTTTACTGGTCTATTATATACATAATTTATAATACACATATGTATTTTACATAGCATTTTATATGCTGTTTATATAACATATAATGAAGAAACTAACATTTATTGAGAAATTATTAAATGCAAGACACTCTTTTAAGCACATTGCATTTATTATATTATCTAATCCTCATAATGATCCTATGGTTTTGAGGTACTGCTAAATTTATTATCTAAGATGATGAGGAAAATGAATCTTTCTCCAATATTATACCATTGTTAAGTATTAGGAACAGAAATCAAATATGAGCAATTTGTCCACATTGAACTGCCTTCATAACCACACATGAAAAACTAGAATTCACATACATAACTTTTAAACTAATATTAACTTCTAATTTATTCATAATATTCTAGAGAAAAAATATTTTTTCGTCATTCTTTCTGGCCTGTTGCTGCTTCCATATCATCCTCTGATCCATTACCATAATCCACTCTGGTCTGTATTGTGAGCTAATACTCTGGTCGGTATTGTGCTAACAGTCTGGTCTGTGTTGTGTGTTAATACTCATGAATATAATCACCATTTCCATTTAGGACTGCTACACTAATTGAAGACTAATTTTAGTTTAGATAGTTCATTTATCTGTGCAATTTACTCAGAGTTTGTGTAAATTTCATCATCAATATTTATTTGCCCTTGTCCTTTGCTTTGCTAATATTTTATAATCACATATCCATGCAAATATTAGGCTTTAGGCAGTTTGGGACAGTTAAAGATGTCTATTCTGCAAATATTCTTATTGCACCTTATTGGAGAAAGTTATGTCTCCCTTCTATGTGGGAAAAATGTAGAGGAGATATGGTTTATGGACTTTCTTGCTGGAATGCTGTCATATGTTGAGAACTATCTTTAAGAATATCTTGCTCCATTGCCCATAAGTAAATTATCTACCATGACTTTATACAACATGCTATTAAACATTTTTGTGGTTACTGTTAGCCCAGGCCTTTGTAACTTAGACACAGTTTCAGAATTTGTGTGTGTGTGTGTGTGTGTGTGTGTGTTATTTAAAAGCAGTTATGACACCTACTTAATTATTTATAACAGTGAGAATCCTTTTGAAATAGTAAATGTTTCCCAGAATCGTATGATTGCTTAGGTCTTGGTTTTATGCATGATGAGAAGATATTGGATATAACTAAATTTCTTCCAATTTTCTGACCAAGTAACTAAATATACATATTTTCCAGTTCAAGCATTTAAGATAATACAATTTAATTCTGCATGTAATAAAAATGCTATTTGTGCTAACTGCTGTTAACATTTAAAAATATCTACATAATTTTAACGACTGTCTAGCTAAGATTTCATTGGGCATTAGGATTTCCAGATTTGTAATTTTTGGTTCTTAACTGTTGTGTCACTCCTATGCAACCTTGCCTATATTTTCCCAAATGGGTTCTCTATTGTTAATTAACACTGAATATATCATTACATCAGACAAACCTGTGGGGGAATGTGGCATTTACTCTGATAACTTATGCTGGGATCCTTTAACAGCTGGAGGTTGTTTTGGCCATCTCTGATTTTCTACTAACTTACATCACCAAATCATTGACATAACAAAGGAACATTACAATTTTGGCTTTTGACAACTTTGTCAGTAACTTTTAAATACTAGTAAATCAGATGAAATCAAAGAAAACTCATTTGGATGAGGGTATCTGATATCAAATGTAACTCTGAAATTTGTCAAGGAGGGGAGTTGTTCTGTGACAGAAAAATTGAGGGAATAATTACTATTTTCACTAAGACAGCCATGTATATCATGCTCATACAAAATATATTCTAATTTTGAATCTTACTTGAAAACAAATTATTGAAATACTATCCATCATGACAAAGGAATACCATACTCGTCCTATTCCCTCACTAGTAGACACCAATAACACATCATCTTTAATCAAAGGATACTGACTTTCGATTTCAGCTTCAAAATGTAGGGTTTGGAAACTGTCACTCTTATTCTTAAGCAAGAAAAATGTAGATCTATAGATTCAATCCAAGTAAATCAAAATCATAGGAAGCAATTTTGTAAATATTAACAAACTAATTCAAAAGTTTATATGGAAAGATAAAAGAATAAGAATAGCCAACACAAACTAAAGGAGAACAAAGTTGGAGGACTTACACTGTTTCATTTGAAAACTTAGTATAAATATTGTCAATTGATTTTTAACAAAACCACCAAGGTGATAGAGTTGAGAAGGAATAACCTTTTTAATAATTGATGCTGGAAGAATTGGACATCCACATGTGAAAAGCAGACAAACATGGCACATGTATACATATGTAACAAACCTGCATGTTGTGCACATGTACCCTAAAACTTAAAGTATAATAAAAAAAGTATTAAAAAAGAAGAAAAGCAGAGAAAAAATGCCAAACTTCTGTTTTGTCAAAAACACTGTTAAAATAATCAAAAATAAGTCTCAGACTGGAAGAAAAAGTTTTCAAAGCATATATTTGATAAAGAATTTAGTCAACATACACAAGTAAGTCGTAAAACCCAGCAAGAGAAACAGAGAACCCAAATAAAAATGAGCAAAAAATCTGAGCAGACATTTTACCAAGAAAATATGCAAATGGAAAATAAATCTGAAAACATACTCTACTTCATTATCCATTAAGGAAATGAAAATTTGAAAAATGAGATACCAGTGCTGACCCAGTCTAATGCTTAAAAATCTAGAAATTGACAATACAAATTATTGGTGGAGATGTAAAGCAATAAGAAATCTCAATTGTTAATGGTCAAAATGTCAAACGAGATAGCCACTTTGGAATACAGTATGGTAGCCTCTTATAAAGCCAAACAAAGCCTTGCTATGTGGTGCAGAAACAGCATTCCTAAGTATTTCCCATCAATTTGAGAATTTATGTTCATACTAACATACGCACACAAAGATTTATAGCAGTTCTATTCAAAATCACTAAACATCAGAAGCAACCAAATGTCCTTCAATAAATGAATGGATAAGCAAGCTGAAGAATATCTATAAAGTGGAACACTATCCTTCAGTGATAAAACACTATGAACTATCAAGTCTTGTGAAAAGATAGATGAACCTTAAGTATATTTTGCTAAGAGAAAGAAGTCAAACAATGCTATATATAGTATCATTCTATTTATATACAATTTTGTAAAGGCAAAGTTACAGAGACAGTAAGTCCGTCAACGCTTACCAGAGATTTGGGAGGGTTGTAGAAGAGTTGCCTGAATATCCAGAGGGGATTTTTTTTAATAGTGGTTAGACTATACTATTTGATTTTGTAATGCAGAATAACATGCTATTGTGCATTTATCAAAACCGTAGAACTTCTCCACATAAAGAGTGAACCTTAGCATATAGAAATTAAAGAATTTGGGATTTTCAGGACTCCCAGCATGGAACGGGGACTGTGAGAAAATAGTTTACCTGTATTACAGATTATGAAACAATCTCACTGAAGCGGATGGTGGGGGCTAGGGAAATACAGTGACCTTAAGTATCTTTGGAAAAGAATGGGGACTATATTACTAAAGGCAAAAGGGACTGCACATAATAAACCTTCATTTCTAATTGATAACATTGCTTTCAACGAAAGTAAAGGTGAACAATTCTAAAACCACAATACATTTATATACTAGTATCAAATAATTAAATAGATGGTAGCTAGTGGAAGCTAGATTTCAAACTATTGGAGTGGGAGGTTACAGATAAGCAAGGGTAGAATATTAGAATGATCCATACGCTAATGGCTTAGAGTTGGAGGCATCAACATAACCTCATGTTTAGTTTAATATAGATACAGATGGATGTATTATAAAAAATGTACAGATATTCACATATAGATGCATTTGTATACACACAGCTATTTTCTTGCTCAGTCAGCTGAGAGGGCTTAGGCAATGACACTCTGGTAGTAAAGAGTGCTTCTAACGCTTAGATCTTATTTTCTAATATCATTTTCTAATCAAAGAAACCAGGGATTCCGGGAGGAATGGCTGATTCTAGAACTGGGGCAGGAAATGTACAACATGGTGTTGGAGCATCTTGTAGTGCCGGAAGGTAAAGTGCTTTAAACAAAAAACAAAAATCACAAGTATGGGGGTATCTGAATGCAACATAGGAGCCAAATGAAAGAGCTCCCAGTGATCAAATCTAACATTTTATGCAACACATAAATATACTATTGGTTCCTAATCCGAAGTATAAATAAATGTTCATCAGTCTATGTTAATATAAACAAATGATTTAATAAATAAATAGCTGGAAAGAGTAGACAAATATTTCACACAGAGAAAATGCCAAATGGTTTATTAGGATGTTTTTGACCTCAAAGAAGTGTTTTTGCCCTCAAAGAAGTTTTGCCCTCAAAGAAGCTCCTTAAGTGTGTGCTGCACATAGTGAAATATTTCCAAGGAGTATGGAAAGAGGAGGAAAAGGAGTTTCTGTTACAGTGGAAAAATATGACAAGCACTATCACAGCCAAGTGATTAATGTTAACATCAATAGTGATAATTCATGTTGACAGTGTGCACCCTCCTAGATATGACGTATCAAGAATGCCACTTTACCTCTGTGGTCTTCTTCACGAAAAAGGATAATTTCAGCCTAAACATGAGACAAAAATCAGACACATTCCAATTACAGGGTACTGTAAAAATGCCAGAGTAGTACTCTTCAAAAATGTCAAGGTCACCAGACACAAGGGAAATCTGAGAAACTGTAACAGTCAACAGGAGCCTGAGTAAACATGAATATTGAATGTGTTATCATGAAACAGAAGGTGGGCATAGTTAAAAGGTAAGAAAATATGAAAACAGTATGAACTTTAAGTTCATAAGAATGTATCACTATTGTTTCATTTATTGTGACAAACAGACCATAGTAAGGTAAGATTTAACAAGTGAAAGAGTAACGGATATAGAGAAACTCCGTACTATCTTTGCCACTAATCTCTATATCTAAATCTATTCTAAACATTTTAAAAGTTCATTATAAGCCTTTTGAAAAATATACCCAAGAATGATTGATGGTGAAGAAGGAGATTTGAGTAAAAAAATGTTTAAACATTCACATGTGAATTTGTAGGCAGAATTATATTTTAGACAAAAAGAACTATTGTATGAATTATAGTATGATCAATGTGGAACAGATATTATTATTTAACCCATATACCTTTTTATATAGGTGTATAAATAAACTCAGTCCATGAGAGCAAAATTGGTTTGATCAAGGTGATACTTCTATATTATTTATGGAATCTACACAGAAATTGGAATCTTGAGGATGAGACTGTCACTCTTCAATTTTTCTGAACCTTACTAGTGTAAGGATTGCTAAAAATTGCTTTTGTTTCTTCTGATTTAGACATGAGATTTTTATTTTTATTTTGTAAAACGCTCTTACCAAAATAAATTGATAACAATTAAACCTAAAACAATAATAAATTAGATTTTATAAGACGAATACCTTCTCTGTTATTCCTTTATTATCATCTATTTCTACATGTGACAAAACATCACTCTACAATTGTATATTTGCATAAAGTGACTTCTTTGAGTAAATAATTCTTTCTTATATATTTGGGACTGTTAAAAGTTTTTGGAATACCATTTACTCACTGTTATTTGAATGATTAGTATTCATAAATAAAGGCAGCGCAGTATAAAAATTTTAAAACCAATAGCAATCTTATAGCTTTATGGGGCTTTCAAAATATTCTGGAGTGACAGAATTGTATCACATATCTCAAAATCATATTTACAGTCCAGGAATACCTTTAATCTAGTAGAAGGTAAAGGCAAAGAGAAAGTATATTATCCTTTCCCCTTTCTTCAGCTATGGCCTAAAATCTTTGTAACTACCGCTTTATTTTCGTGAAAGATTTAACAGTGCAGATATCTTTCCTAAATACACAGTTGGGATTGTAATAGGGGAAAGATAACAACTGTTTGATAAACAATTTATTAAAATGATACTTGCACATGTACGAGCATAGAACAGTAATATTTTTAACCACAGCACGACTATATGCTTCTAAGTCCAAGATAAACAGATCACACTGAGAGCTCAAAGAATTCTCCCAGAGACCAACAGCAGTTTCTCTGCTTCATTTTTTTGTTTGTTTGTTTTTTTCCTAACATTTCCATATATCACCAAAATACTTCAATTAGAGCAGTTTACTCCTGTTCCATGTGGAGTTCCCCTACTGGGCAGAGTTGTGCATGAAGTTATTTGAAAAATGCTTGGACTTCTTATTATCATAGTTACTTCTTATACACAGTAACCTTCACCTCACATGTTGAACATTCATCTAAGTTGTAGTCAGGAATAAATGGATTCCTCCTACTCACAGTATGAGACAACCGATATTAAACACAGAAAATAATCACATGGATGGCAGGTTATTTGAGTTTTCATGTCATTTCTATGGTGATAAGTGGAGTGGTAAGGAAATATAATTTCTCTTTGATATAACACAATGCAAATAAATCAATCTAATATTAATCCATACTTATATCCTATATACTGTAGATAACAATTGTCACTGTTAAAACAACAGGAAAGAATTTTTTAGAAAAGTTTTAAGTTATATAATGTTATGAAAAGCAGGGCCAAAAGGAGCAGAGTAGACATATATGGTCCACCCGATCATGAAAATAGCTTTTTTATGTAGATGAATTCCGGGTGATGCCATGGGCTGTAATGCTATTTCACCTGTATTCATGTGCTTAACCTGTCACTGTTCCTGCAATTTCTAGATGAAGAAAGCCATTGCATATTCTGAGCAGGTCTGCTCACTGATATGATATTAACAAATAGTGGCACCACATCAAGTCTGGAGGTGGACCAGCCATGAGGAAGTTATTTATGTAACTAATTCTGGGCTGCAAACCAAGACGCCATGGCTCTTTAACAGCCAGAGCCAAGAATTAGCAGAGCAAGGAATGTCTTATACCTGACAAATCAATACAGTGAAGTGTTTCACTTCATTCCACTGGAGTAATTAAAACATTTTTATCCAAGGGGATCCATAGGGCATGATGCATAACAAGTGTTAGCGACCACCTATAACTATCTCTAAACAGCACTATAGCCAAGCATTTCCAAATTACAGCCAAAAGGGACAAAAAGAGCATAAAGCAGCATTTTCATTAATTCATGAAGAGGAGCTCTGTAGTGGCAGCATAGGTTTTGGTGGTGTATTTTCTACATGGAGTAAAGTAATTCATAACGGGTTTATAGGAGCAAGCTACCTAAGGTTTATCATATGCTCATAGAGATTCGTCTTAGAAGTTATGGATTATGAGGCCCACAGTATTGCCTAATGGGTTAAATTTCTTTTGTTGCTGTTTAACTGTGTTATAATTGTTAAAAGTAATAATGTATATAATTTTAAAATAAAATAATAAGGAAGATCTCTCAATTAAAAGATGGTTTTGCTCCATACTCAAATCCTTCCCTTTAGATGTCAAAACCTACATTTAACATTTTATGTTTTCCAGTTGTTAATCTCTTCAAATCATATATGCATGCAGCTCTTTAGTAAATTACTGATTGCACAAGGGTTTTATTGGTTTCCTATTGAGATAACTAAGAATTTTGCTTAATTATACTCTTCCTTTCTTCCTTAGCCTGCTTTTCTCTCATAAACCATATATGCCCAGATATAAGAGAAGATTGCTCCCTAAAATCTTTCTTCCGAAATAAGTCATCTCATGTATGGGTTTTAAAATGCTTCCTTCTCTATAAGAGAGAACACAAAATTGGAAAAACATTCTATGCTCATGTTTAGAAAGAATCAATATCATGAAAATGGCCATACTGCCCAAAGTAATTTATAGATTCAATGCTATTCCCAACAAGCTACCACTGACTTTCTTCACAGAATCAGAAAAAATTACTTTAAACTTCATATGTAACCAAAAAAGAGCCTGTATAGCCAAGACGATCCTAAGCAAAAAGAACAAAGCTGGAGGCATCATGCTACCTGACTTCAAAGTATACTATAAGGCTACAGTAACCAAAACAGCATGGTACTGGTAACAAAACAGATATATAGACCAATGGAACAAACAGAGACCTCAGAAATAATACCACACATCTATCTACAACCATCTGATCTTTCACAAACCTGACAAAAACAAGAAATGGGAAAAGGGTTCCCTATTTAATGAATAGTGTTGGGAAAACAGGCTAGCCATATGCAGAAAACTGAAACTGGACCTCTTCATTATGCCTTATACAAAAATTAACTCAAGATGGATTAAAGATTTAAATGTAAGACATAAAACCATAAAACCCCTAGAAAAAAACCTAGGCAATAGCATTCAGGACATATGCATGGGCAAAGACTTCATGACTAAAAGCAAGGAATGAATGGCTTACTGGACAAGATGTGCTCTGAAATTTTACTCATCCCTGAACTCTTGAAAATAACAAGAAAGGAAATTCAGATTTCAGTAACCAACTCTGAACAGCCATTTCTTGCTTCTGGACTTTAGAGTTCCAACCCTGACATTTCTTTTTCTCACTTTTAGGAAAATGTCTTTCAAAATAAAGGACACAATTGGAAGAAGGAGGGGGAAAAGTGGTAGACAGAGGAAAAAAAATGTAGAGAGGAAGAGAAGAAGGAGGAAAGGAATAAATAGAAAGAGGAGGGGGAGAAGAAGCAGCAAGAGGAGGAGAAGAAGGAGAAATCATGAGAGAAACTCATCCCTCCCCTTAGGGTTCCCCTAATTTAGAGGCTCTTCTTTCTTCGCACACTGTACTTCTGTGGACAGACCACAGCTTCATATCCTGCAGGTCTGTCTTGTTCATGCAAAGTAACTGTTCTCCATGGGGACCATTGTCTGAGGAAGATAAAGATAAAGACCTGCTACATGACAACCCCTGACTATAGTTCTGCTAATCTTATTCCCTTTCACTGAATTCCAGATACTAAATCTGAATCCTGCTTACTTCTCTTGGAAACCTCAGCCCAATAACAAAGAAGATGTCCTATAAATACCTGGGTACTAAACACCTTTTCTGTATATATCTTGTCTGCCATTAGTCTTTGTCCTTCCTTAGTGACGGTTTATTTGATCAATTTATGAATCTCTTTGAATATATAGTTTATCATTTTTAAAAAGTGATAGACATGCTTATTACATGAGGTTGCTGTGATAATTCCATGGGGATTCTAACCATAGCGCCTGAGCCCAGTACAGAACATTAGACTAATGTTAGAGCTCTTTTAAGTTTAAAACCACTCATTTTCATTAGAAAGCTGTATAGTTTAGTCATTAAAAGTAGAATTATCTAAAATATAGGTTTCATTTTGAATCCTGGCTCTACATTTCATTAACTATGTAATATGTCAGAAGTTACTAACATCTCTGAATTTTCCTATATGTAAAATGGGAATAATGATAGCACCTCCATCATAAGATTCTTTGTGAGAATTAAATAAAATAATCTCTGGAAAAATTTGAGATATTCAGGTTGACTGCTGAGCAATTTATCAAAATATATAATCTTGGAAAGATGATAAATTTCATGGGGCAGTAAAGGTACTAATGGAGGAAAAAGTATACTATTTTGAAAAAATGAGTATTTTAGAATGTGCCAAGGAGATACAAGTGGTGATATGAAGTAAGAAGTTTGATATAAAAACATAGAGTTCATAAGACATTTAAACTCAAAAATGAAAATGGGTTGGCATCCATCAGCACAGAGGTGGTATTATACATACTGCGTGGGACTGAATGAGATTATCTCAGAAAATAAATTAAATCTTCTTTTAATTAAAGAAGAGAAATGCTTTCAGGATAGATACCTGATGTACTTTAGTGTTTGAGGTTGAGCAGAAGAAAAGTTGTTAGCTGAGAAGACTCCAAAGTAGCAACAAGAGAAATAAAGAGAACAACAAGAGAATGTTACAGAAACTGCATCATACAGAATTTAGTTGCAGATAAGAGAAACTTATCTACCAGTTTTAAGAATAAGGAATATAGACACAGCAAATTAGATGCTTACAAATTTGGTGGTTGGGCTGGTTCCATAAAATTTACTCCTAGGACAAGGTAACTCAGGTTGCCTATCAAGGGAATAGTTTCGCATGTTACAGTCGTACATCTGATGAAAAATATTGGCATTGTCTCAAGTGCTGGCTACAGGATCACACTTCCCTGGCCTCAATGTAAAGACAAGAAGCCACCACCAGATTGATTGGCTTTATAATCATGCTACACAAACAAAAATAATGTTTCAATCTCTATACTTTGCCATGGTCATTACTAAAATCCCTGCATATGTAATTTTCAAATAATAAATCATATATGAAATGTTGGAACACATATTAAAAGAGTCAGTTTACCATACGGACCAAAAGGTATGCAAGGGGAGGGAGGTATTTCAAGAAGGAGCAGTTATTTGTGTGCAAGGGTACTGGTGAGGCATGTAAAGGATGACAGAAAAAAAATTAAATTTGGCGCTAAGAGATATCCTTGCTGACCTCAACATAGTAGCAGAGAGGTGAAAACTTGAGGGAGGTAGAGTAGGTTGAAGAGTGAAAAAGTAGCAAGGAAATGGAGAAAAGAAAGAGAAATAACTCATTTTTGGAGTGCTTTTGTGAAAAGAAGCAGAGAAATGGAGCCATGGTTGGGTGTGAACGGAGGGGTCAACAGATTTTTTTTTTTCTTTTTCTTTTTTTTTTTTTAGAGACGGAGTCTCGCTGTTTTGCCCAGGCCGGACTGCAGTGGCGCTATCTCGGCTCACTGCAAGCTCCGCCTCCCGGGTTCATGCCATTCTCCTGCCTCAGCCTCCCAAGTAGCTGGGATTACAGGTGCCTGCCACCACGCCCAGCTAATTTTTTGTATTTTCAGTACAGACGGGGTTTCACCGTGTCAGCCAAGATAGTCTCGATCTCCTCACCTCGTGATCCGCCCCCCTTGGCCTCCCAAAGTGCTGAGATTACAGGCGTGAGCCACCGCGCCAGGCCAGAATTTTTTTTTATTTTATTGGCTTTAAATGGCACGTATTGACAAGCTGATGGGGATAATTCAGTAGAAATGGAGACTAACGTTTCAGAGAAATAAGGGATAGTTGCAAGATAAAATACTTAAGAATATTACAACCCAAATTAAGGTGTTCTCAGATAGAGAGAGTGAAGGGAGAGAGGAAAAAAAGGGAGTCCAGGAGATTGTTTGCAAAAAACTGGATAAATAATGGGTTGTGAGCCTAAGTGTGTACAAAGAGAAATGAAGATAGCATATGGAGGCTGGACAGTGGAAAAGTTTGATGGATTGACAGGTTGGAGGTCTACATTAGGTAAAAAATAGTTTGTAGTGGACCAATTAGAGTCAAGGGCAAATGGAAGGGGTCAGACTGATATAGTTATGGTTCTGGATATGAACAGGTCTAGGATGTAATTATCAGAATGTTAAATAGAGGAGATTTTTTAAAAGTTTGTTGGAAGTGAGGAAGTCAAGAAACAGAACTGGGGGTGATGGATGGGTCTTCTTGGCTATATCACGGATAATAACAGTAGCACTAATTGAGAGTAAAATCCTGAGCAAGGAAACTATTCATTCAGTCAGTGAAACAAGGTGACTTTAAGATCTAGAAGTACAATGGCAATAATTTAGCAGTACTATATGGGAGTCAAATAAGCTATGGTTTAGAATGAGGAAAGAAAAAACACACATATGCTGATTTTAGAATTGTCATATGGACTAAACGTGATAATTGTTATAAAGCACTATAACCAAACTCACGCACGTAAACACATACACAACACACACAGACACACACACACACACACACCATGGAAGTATTAGGTCACTAAAAAATCTCACAACGTGACATACATACAAAAAGTTTTTAGAGCAAGTGAAATTTTAGCTGCTATATGTTAATTGGTGGTAATCCCAGCAATAAAGACAAGGTAATCAGAAAAACTTTCTTCAAAAATTCTGCACATTCATTGACATGCTGTTCCTTCTGCAATGAATTCTTGATGATATTGAGTGTCTTACTAATATCTATATTCCACACAACTGGCATGAACTCAGGCACACTGAATCAATATTTATTGAATTTAAAGTTCTAAGAATCTAAATTATGTGAAGAGATTTTTCTCCAATTATTAACTGAAATATGGAAGAATTTAAGAGAATCTAAATATGCCACTGCATAGCAAGTGGAAAATGTATAATGCTATAGTGAATCACAAGAAATTTAATAGCATTTTCACTTATCAAGCATCATATCTGCTTTATATGATGCCTACCATATTTCCAATTTACTAAAATAAATGTGGATTGAAAATGTAAATAATTATTACGCATATTTTCAAGAAAATCAAAAGATAGGACCCTCCCTGACCCTGGAAATTTGTTCAGACAATCTGTAGTCATGGTTCATTAGTGACATGCTCTACCAAGCTGGTGAATAAATAATCATTTTCATTCCCTTTCATTGCTTTTCCTGGTTATGGAGGCTATTAGCAGATAAAAATGACATTAATGCACATTTTGTATAATAAAGATTCCATGAACCTAAGAATCTTATTTTCACTGTCAAGCGCCCATAAACACAGCAGGGGGATGATGAATAAGAGATAAAAACCAGAAATAGCAAAATTCAATATAATTTTAAGTGAAGTGTAACCAGAAATGTGAGTGAAAAAATGCAATTATATGCTAGAAGAAAGAGACTGCTGATAATTAAACATAAATGTATAATATGCATATATATAACAAATATAAATATATAGCCTAGATAACTTTTATGACCATAATATATATGTAGAATTCTGTGTGCATATACATATATATATATATTCTAATATATATTTAAGTATGATTACACGAACAAAACAGTTTTCTTAAGCCTTGCCTGAGAGTTGTTATGGATCTCCCTTACATTTAGAAATAACTAAAGTAAGTAGGCACAAGAGAAATAAATGTAGAGCAGACCATTTCAAACACTTACACAAATAGGCACATATGATTCAATAATGACAGGCAATAACTGTGCTAATGAAAATTACCTCCTTGATTATTGTCTTATGTCTCCATTTTCTTCTTATATTGGTAGAAATCATTTGTAAAGGCATTGGCTTTCCCCAAAATAAATTATCATGCCAGTTGTTGATGTCTTGCTTTGGTAAATACAGTTAGGGGTATCTACTGCTCCCTGAATATTATAAGAGTCAGAAACAGATATTTTGACTTTCAAAATGCTCATGCCAAATAGGGAAAATTTTACTCACCTGATGAATCTTATATTTTTAAGTATAATGTACAGGGCAAAGGTCTTTGAAAAATATTTTATCTCATACGATATTTAGCCACATATGTGATATTTTTGGTAAGAATCATAAGAAAATAGACAGTGGGTCCTACGTTCCTGTGAGTCACTACTCAGTCATGATAAACATGCTCAGAGCTTTACAAGGAAAGTAGGGCTTGAAAGATCGACTTACAGTCTAAAGATGTACAACAACTATTCACAAGAAAATATATTTAAAAAATGACCATGCCTTCAAAAGCTTGGAATAAGCCCCTGCTCTAAATAGCAAATCAAAATTAGATAAGCTTAATTGAGTTTGCAGAGGAGGCACTAATTGTCTTTTTTCAGATATTCAATTTTATTTCAGGTTAGGATAAAAAAGAAATTTTAAAAGGTGATTCATGTTTGTTTGATTCTGTTTTAATGAAGAACTTCTTGAGGAAAGTAAAATGACACTTAACCCTCTCAAAGGAAATACAAAGAAATAAAATTTTGAATGACTCATGAAGATGCAAATGACAACAAGAAAATATCTGAAGTAAGCTCAAAGTGATTCTCTGCCCATGGAAGTAAAGAACTAACATAATCTATAGAGGGTGATGTCAGAAGCCCTTGGTCCTGATCTTCAACACAAAGACAGCAAAAACAAATAAACAACTACATTTTAGTGAAGATAAGGGGAGCACAGAAGTACGTCAAAGGGGTAGCAGAAACTCTGTTGAACACAGAAACTTATGACATTCACTTAGAGAACAGAAGGAAACACCTGGCCTCTATCATCCCATCACTCAGCCCAGGATCAGATGGGAACCAGGAGAAACCTCTCCCTTTAGTGAAAAGATCAGCAAGAATGTCCCAGCAGCCCTCATCAACACCTTGCATGCCTACAGTTCTCAAAAGCACTAAGCACAGCTGAGAGAGCTGTTTGGAGTCAAGAAAGTTGTGCTCCCCAAGAGAAGTAGCCAAAATTGTACCCTAGCTGCTGTGGCCTGCAAGGCTACTACACTACACCACTGTGGAGATGTAACTACTGCTGGAGTGTGTCTTGGTCAGGGAGCAAGTGGCCACACCCTGTCATCCTTGAGGCTTAGCCCTGCTGCTGCCAAGCCACCCTCACTTAATGGCTCCGCATCCCCAAGCCAAGCTGGGAGCTTCTGTTATACTCTACCTTATGGGGCCAAAAGGAAGTGGAGGTGCCCCATCTATTCCTCCCAGTCAGAGCAGTGCCTCACTCCTTCAGGCCCAAGCTGAAGCTGCTCACTCCATGCTGGGGAAATGGTACCTTGGCAGAGCTACTCCATATACCCCACCCAGTAGCTGCTGAACCATGTCCCACGGTGCCAAAGATGAAAGAATGCCCTTTTCTCCTGGGAAAACAGTACCTTGGTGTCCCACAGCTATCATAATCAACTCCTTAGTGCCTAAGTTGAAGCAGCAACCTGCCTCATTGGAAAAGGTAACTTTGTTGCCCAGAGTGGCTATGCACCCCTGTCCCTAAACTGAAGTGGCACCCAGCTTCCCAGGTAAATGGTGCCTGGACTGCTCAGAGCAATCACATCCTTTTGGCCCAAGCTAAAGCAGCACATAGCCACCTGAAGAATTGATACTTTGGCCAAGCTGAACAGCTGCACATCCTAGGGCTGAGCTGAAATGGTACCACATGTCCCAGGGAGACAAAGCAGTGGCTAGGCTGAAACACCCACCCTACAGGCCAAACAACTCTAGTACCATGTTTCCCTGATGATGGAAACATGGTAGCCCACTAGAGTACAAGCTGCTGAGGTACCCTCCACCCCATAGAATGGAGTCGTCACTATAATGTTCCCTGCTCCCCAAAACTGAAACCACAGCTGTGATCCAACATCATGGGGTCCTTGTCGCTGCTGAACCTGGCCACACAGAGTCTGTGATACTGCCAAGTTTCAGAGTCCAGAGTCACCACTAGCCAATGCCTCATCACCAGGGACTTGAGTTGCCTGTGAACCCTATTGCTCTGATTCCCAAATGGTATGTATACCCCACTCCCAGGGCCCAATCCTTCATAGTACACCTTCTCTGGAGCTGGGTCAGTGATGTGCCCTGTCCCCAGGTGCTACAATAACTTTATGACACCTTGAGATCAGAAACCCAGCTCCACAGCTATTCTGAGCACTTGGGCCATGGAACCTAGTGCCACTGAAGCTACTTATAGGCTGTGTCAGATGCAAAACCAAGAAGGATCTCCTCTGCTAAGTCTCTCCATTGTGGGGGAAAAAAAGGAATAGAAGAGCCCTTAATCCCTTGCCACCAAGCACCCTAACAACTTTTGCTACCACCATCATGGCCACAAACTTCTCTAACCTAAGTCACTAACACACCCACAGTTATCGCTGACATTGTTTGTCCCTGAACAAGCTGCATGAAGGCTACACACACTGCATCTACTTGGAATCAAAGTCACCATTCCCTACAGGTACACTAAGATCTATCAGCAGGTAAAACTCTTTCTCTATGAAAGCCACTTTGTAAAGTTTGGAAGACATAACTGTTCTACCAGCTATACAGATATCAACAAAGGGACATAAAAAACATAAAAAGCAAGGAAATATGACATCACTAGGGAAATACAATAAATCTCTAGTACTAGACCCTAAAGAAAAGAAAATCTGCAAATTGCCAGAAAAAAAGACAAAATAATAGCCTTAAAGAAGCTCAGTGAAATTCAAGAGAATATGATAGGCAAATGAAATCAGGGAAACAATTCATGATCTTAGTAAGAAATTTTACAAAGAAATAGATATCATAAAAATGAAGTAAACAGGAATTTTGCAGCTGAAGAATTCAATGAATAAAATAGGAAATATAATAGAGAGCTTCCACAGCAAATCAGATCAAGCAACTGAAAGAATCTCTGAGATTTATCCCAGGGATGCAAGGACAGTTCAACACATGTAAATCAATAAATGTAATTCACCACATTAACAAATTGAAGGGCAAAAATCACAGAACCATTTCAACAGCTGCAGAAGAGGCATTTGACAAAATTTAATATCCTGTCATGACAAAAACTCTCAAAAAACTAGACATAGAAGGTGCATGCCTCAACACAACGAAAACTGTATATGACAAAGCCACAGATAACAGCATACTGAATGGGGAAAATTTGAAAGCTTTTTCTCTACTATCTGAAACAAGAGAAGGATGCCCCCTTTCTCCACGTCTACTAAGCATAGTACTAGAAGCCCTAGCTATAGTAATTAGACAAGAGAAAAAAATTAAAAAGCATCCAAATAGAAAAAGAGAAAGTCAAACTGCCCATTTGAAGACAATGTGACTTAATATATAGAATGCTTTAAACACTCAAACAAAAAAACTGTTATAACTAATAAACAAATTCAGTAAAGTTGGAGGATACAAAGTCAACACACAAAATTAGTACTTTTTCTATATACTTACAGTGAACTATCTGAAAAAAAAAACTATTCCATTTGTAATTCTAAAAAAATGCTTAGGAATAATTTAACCAAAAAGGTAAAGTTATATACACTATAAATTAAAAAACACGGATGAAATGAATTCAAAAACACACAATTAGATGGAAATATACCTTGTGTTCATGGAATAAAAGAATTACTATTGTTTAAATATCCACACTACCCAAAGTGATCAATAGGATTCAATGACATCCCTTTCAGTATACCAATAACATACTTCACAGAAATAGATAAAACAATCTTAGAATTTGTATGGAACCACAAAATACCCCAAATAGCCAAAACAATCTTGAGCAAAAGAATAAAGCTGGAGGCATCACAGTACCTGACTTCAAAATATACTGCAAAGCTATAGTAACCAAAACAGTATGGTACTGGCATATGAACAAACACATAGACCAATAAAACAGAATACCCAGCCCAGAAATAAATCCATACGTGTAAAACAAACTGACTTTAGAAAAAGCCATCAAAAGCACATGTTGGAGTAAGGACAATCTTCTCATTACGATGCTGGAAAAATTAGCCACATGAAGAAGAATAAAAATAGGCCCTATTTCTCACCATATCCAAAGTCAACTCACAATGGATTAAGAAGATTTAAGTATAAGACTTGAAACTATAAAATTACTACAAGAAAACACAGGAGAAATGATTCTGACATTGGTCTGTATAAGGCTTTTATGAATAAGGCCTCAAAACGCATGGGCAACAAGAGCAAAAATAGACAAATCAGATTAAATCAAAAGTGATGGCAAGGAAGTGAAGAAAGGGGGAGATTTTGCCCACTGTTGGTGGGAATGTAAGTTAGTATGGTCATTATGGTAAACAGTATGAAAGTTTCTATAAAAATTAAAATAGAACTACCATATGATCCAGCAATCCCATTTTGGATATATATTCAAAGGAAATGAAATCAGTAAGGAGAAGAGATATCTGCACTATTCTGTTTATTGCAGCACTACTTGCAATAGCCAAAATATGAAATCAACCTAAATATCCATCAACAAAAGAATGGATAAGGAGGGTGGAGCCAAGATGGCCGAATAGGAACAGCTCCAGTCTACAGCTCCCAGCATGAGCAACGCAGAAGACAGGTGATTTCTGCATTTCCAACTGAGGTACCAGGTTCATCTCACTGGGCAGTGCTGGACAGTGGGTGCAGGACAGTGGGTGCAGCACACCGTGCATGAGCTGAAGCAGGGCGAGGCATTGCCTCACCCGGGAAGCACAAGGGGTCAGGGAATTCCCTTTCCTATTCAAAGAAAGGGGAGGGGCGCCCACCATTGCCGAGCCTTGAGTAGGTAAACAAAGCAGCCGGGAAGCTCGAACTGGGTGGAGCCCACCACAGCTCAAAGAGGCCTGCCTGTCTCTGTAGGCTCCACCTCTGGGGGCAGGACACAGACAAACAAAAGGCAGCAATAACATCTGCAGACTTAAATGTCCCTGTCTAACAGCTTTGAAGAGAGTAGTGGTTCTCCCAGCACGCAGATGGAGATCTGAGAACGGGCAGACTGCCTCCTCAAGTGGGTCCCTGACCCCTGAGTAGCCTAACTGGGAGGCACCCACCAGTAGGGGCGGACTGACATCTCACACAGCTGGGTACTCCTCTGAGACAAAACTTCCAGAGGAACAATCAGGCAGCAGCATCTGCAGTTCACCAATATCCGCTGTTCTGCAGCCACCGCTGCTGATACCCAGGCAAACAGGGTCTGGAGTGGACCTCCAGCAAATTCCAACAGACCTGCAGCTGAGGGTCCTGACTGTTAGAAGGAAAACTAACAAACAGAAAGGACATCCACACCAAAATCCCATCTGTACATCACCATCATCAAAGACCAAAGGTAGATAAAATCACAAAGATGGGGGAAAAACAGAGCAGAAAAACTGGAAACTCTAAAAATCAGAGCGCCTCTCCTCCTCCAAAGGAACGCAGCTCCTCACCAGCAATGGAACAAAGCTGGACGGAGAATGACTTTGCGAGTTGAGAGAAGAAGGCTTCAGAAGATCAAACTACTCCGAGCTAAAGGAGGAAGTTTGAACCAAAGGCAAAGAAGTTAAAAAACCTTGAAAAAAAATTAGACGAATGGATAACTAGAATAACCAATGCAGAAAAGCCCTTAAAGGACCTGATGGAGCTGAAAAACATGGCACAAGAACTATGTGACGAATGCACAAGCCTCACTAGCCGATGCAATCAACTGGAAGAAAGGGTATCAGAGATGGAAGATGAAATGAATGAAATGAAGTGAGAAGAGAAGTTTAGAGAAAAAAGAATAAAAAGAAACGAACAAAGCCTCCAAGAAATATGGGACTATGTAAAAAGACCAAACCTACGTCTGATTGGTGTACTTGAAAGTGACGGGGAGAAGGGAACGAAGTTGGAAAACACTCTGCAGGATATTATCCAGGAGAACTTCCCCAATCTAGCAAGGCAGGCCAACATTCAAATTCAGGAAATACAGAGAATGCCACAAAGATACTTGTCAAGAAGAGCAACTCCAAGACAAATAATTGTCAGATTCACCAAAGTTGAAAGGAAGGAAAAAATGTTAAGGGCAGCCAGAGAGAAAGGTCAGGTTACCCACAAAGGGAAGCCCATCAGACGAACAGCTGATCTCTCAGCAGAAACTCTACAGGCCAGAAGAGAGTGGGGGCCAATATTCAACATTCTTAAAGAAAAGAATTTTCAACCCAGAATTTCATATCCAGCCAAACTAAGCTTCATAAGTGAAGGAGAAATAAAATACTTTACAGAGAAGCAAATGCTGAGAGATTTTGTCACCACCAGGCCTGCCCTACAAGAGCTCCTGAAGGAAGCGCTAAACATGGAAAGGAACAACCGGTACCAGCCACTGCAAAAACATGCCAAATTGTAAAGACCATCAAGGCTAGGAAGAAACTGCATCAACTAACGAGCAAAATAACCAGCTAACATCATAATGACAGGATCAAATTCACATATAACAATACTAACCTTAAATGTAAATGGAGTAATTCTCCAATTAAAAGACACAGACTGGCAAATTGGATAGAGTCAAGACCCATCAGTGTGCTGTATTCAGGAAACCCATCTCAAATGCAGAGACACACATAGGCTCAAAATAAAGGGATGGAGGAAGATCTACCAAGCAAACGGAAAACAAAAAAAGGCAGGGGTTGCAATCCTAGTCTCTGAAAAAAACAGACTTTAAACCAACAAAGATCAAAAGAGACAAAGAAGGCCATTACATAATGGTAAAGGGATCAATTCAACAAGAAGAACTACCTTAAATATATATGCACCCAATACAGGAGCACCCAGATTCATAAAGCAAGTCCTTAGAGACCTACAAAGAGACTTAGACTCCTACACAATAATAATGGGGGACTTTAACACTCTACTGTCAACATTAGACAGATCAATGAGACAGAAAGTTAACAAGGATATCCAGGAATTGAACTCAGCTCTGCACCAAGTGGACCTAATAGGCATCTACAGAACTCTCCACCCCAAATCAACAGAATATACATTCTATTCAGCACCATACCACACCTATTCCAAAATTGACCACATACTTGGAAATAAAGCACTCCTCAGCAAATTTAAAAGAACAGAAATTACAACAAACTGTCTCTCAGACCACAGTGCCATCAAACTAGAACTCAGGATTAACAAACTCACTCAAAGCCACTCAACAACATGGAAACTGAACAACCTGCTCCTGAATGACTACTGGGTACATAACGAAATGAAGGCAGAAATAAAGACGTTTTTTGAAACCAACGAGAACAAAGACACAACATACCAGAATCTCTGGGACACATTCAAAGCAGTGTGTAGAGGGAAATTTATAGCACTAAATGCCCACAAGAGAAAGCAGGAAAGATCTAAAATTGACACCCTAACATCACAATTAAAACAACTAGAGAAGCAAGAGCAAACACATTCAAAAGCTAGCAGAAGGCAAGAAATAACTAAGATCAGAGCAGAACTGAAGGAAATAGAGACACAGAAAACCCTTCAAAAAAATCAATGAATCCAGGAGCTGTTTTTTGAAAAGATCAACAAAATTGATAGACCACTAGCAAGACTAATAAAGAAGAAAAGGGAGAAGAATCAAATAGATGCAATAAAAAATGATAAAGGGGACATCATCACTGATCCTATAGAAATACAAACTACCATCAGATAATACTATAAACACCTCTACGCAAATAAACCAGAAAATGTAGAAGAAATGGATAAATTCCTCAACACATACACCCTCCCAAGACTAAACCAGGAAGAGGTTGAATCTCTGAATAGACCAATAAGAGGCTCTGAAATTGAGGCAATAATTAATAGCTTACCAACCAAAAAAAGTCCAGGACCAGATGGATTCACAGCCAAATTCTATCAGAGGCACAAGGAAGAGCTGGTACCATTCCTTCTGAAACTATTCCAATCAATAGAAAAAGAGGAAATCCTCCCTAACTCATTTTATGAGGCCAGCATAATCCTGATACAAATGGAATGTTCCTCCATTTGTTTGTATCCTCTTTTATTTCAACGAGCAGTGGTTTGTAGTTCTCCTTGAAGAGGTCCTTCACATCCCTTGTAAGTTGGATTCCTAGGTATTTTATTCTCTTTGAAGCAATTGTGAATGGGAGTACACTCATCATTTGGCTCTCTGTCTTTTATTGGTGTGTAAGAATGCTTGCAATTTTTGCACATTGATTTTGTATCCTGAGACTTTGTTGATGGATTAAAGACTTAAATATTAGACCTAAAACCATAAAAACCCTAGAAGAAAACCTAGGCAATACCATTCAGGACATAGGCATGGGCAAGGACTTCATGTCTAAAATACCAAAAGCAATAGCAACAAAAGCCAAAATTGACAAATGGGATCCAATTAAACTCAAGAGCTTCTGCACAGCAAAAGAAACTACCATCAGAGTGAACCTACAGAATGGGAGAAAATTTTTGCAATCTCCTCATCTGACAAAGAGCTAATATCCAGAATCTACAAAGAACTCAAACAAATTTACAAGAAAAAAGCAAACAACCCCATCAAAAAGTGGGCAAAGGATATGAACAGACACTTCTCAAAAGAAGACATTTATGCAGCCAACAGACACATGAAAAAATGCTCATCATCACTGGCCATCAGAGAAATGCAAATCAAAACCACAATGAGATACCATCTCACACCAGTTAGAATGGCAATCATTAAAAAGTCAGGAAACAACAGGTGCTGGAGAGGATGTGGAGAAGTAGGAACACTTTACACTGTTGGTGGGACTGTAAATTAGTTCAACCATTGTAGAAGACAGTGTGGAGATTCCTCAAGGATGTAGAACTAGAAATACCATTTGACCCAGCCATCCCATTACTGGGTATGTACCCAAGGAATTATAAATCATGCTGCTATAAAGGCACATGCACACGTATGTTTATTGCAGCACTATTCACAATAGCAAAGACTTGGAACCAACCCAAATGTCCATCAATGATAGACTGGATTCAGAAAATGTGGCACATATACACCATGGAATACTATTCAGCCATAAAAAGGATGAGTTCATGTCCTTTGTAGGGGCAAGGATGAAGCTGGAAACCATCATTCTCAGCAAACTATTGAAAAAACAAAAAACCAAATACCGCATGTTCTCGTTCATAGGTGGGTATTGAACAATGAGAACACTTGGACACAGGAAGGGGAACATCACACACCGGGGCCTGTCATGGGGTGAGGGGATGGCGGAGGGAAAACATTAGGAGATATACTTAATGTAAATGATGAGTTAATGGGTGCAGCACACCAACATGGCACATGCATACATATGTAACAATCCTGCACGTTGTGCACATGTACCCTAGAACTTAAAGTATAATAATAAAAAAAAAGTTAAAAAAATAAAAATAAAGGAAAGACCAAAAAAAAAAAAAAAAAAATGGAATACTACTTGGCCACAAAAAAGAATGAAATTCTGTCATTTGTGTCAACTTGGATGAGCCTGGAGGACATTACATTAAGTGAAGTAAGCCAGACACAGAAAGACAAATACCACATGATCTCACTTATATTTGGAATCTAAAAACATTGATCTCATAGAAGTAGAGAGCAGAAAAGTGGTTACCAGAAGCTAGGGAGGGTAGAAAGGAGGAAAATATGGGGAGAATTTGGCCAATGGGTACAATGTGACAGTTGGATAGAAGTAAAGTTCTGGTGTTCCATTGCACAGGGGGTGATTATAATTAACAATCATGTATTCTATATTTCAAAATACAGTCAGGCACCACATAAGAATATTGTAGTCAATGAAAGACCACATATAGGACAGCAGTCCTGTAAGATTATAATAGTGTATTTTTCTGTACCTTTATGTTTAGATACACAGATGCTTACAATTTGTGTTACAATTACCTATAGTATTCACTACAGTAACATGATGTACCGGTTTGTAGCCTAAAAATAATAGGCTATACCATATAGCCTAGGTGTGTAGTCAGCTATATCAAGTAGGTTTGTTAAGTACCCTCTATGATGTACATGCAGTGACAAAATTGCCTAACAACGCATTTCTCAGAACAAATCTTCATGGTTAAGCAATGCGTGACTGCAGCTAGAAGAAAGGATTCTTAATGTTCTCACTGCAAATAAATGATAAATATTTGAGGTGATGGATTTGTTAATTATTTTGTTTTTCTCATTACAAAGTATATATATATATATAAAAAATACCACAAACTACCCAATAAATGTGTATGATGTTATGTCAATTAAAAATAAAAGTCTAAAAATTTAGCATTATCTACATTACAATTTCAACTAAATTTTATAGTCAAGTATTTCAAAATGTATTTGT
The DNA here is from genome assembly GCF_000001405.40 of Homo sapiens. Lineage (NCBI taxonomy): Eukaryota > Metazoa > Chordata > Mammalia > Primates > Hominidae > Homo > Homo sapiens. The sequence continues at coordinate 102,168,838 of NC_000009.12, read as the reverse complement.
ATTATTTTTATTTAAAACTTTTAAATATTTAATTACACAAAATAATATGCTAGATAACAGGATACTCACTATCTTAAAAAATCAAGTTAATACTACACAAACTTTGGATCACATCTTTCTTTTTTGAAAGAAATAATACATTATACGTTGCTGAGACTCTTCATTTCTTTGAATACTGCCCCTCCCCCATTCTACTGTTAATAAATATCCTCCCTATGCCTATTTTATATTATCACATATATAGTATTAATACATATTTGTAGGCCGGGCATGGTGACTTACGCTTATAATCCTAACACTTTGGGAGGCCAAGGCAGGCAGGTTGCTTGAGTCCAGAAGTTTGAGACCAGGCTGGACAGCATGTTGAAACCCCATCTATAAAAAAAAGAAAAAAAGAAAAGAAAAAAAAAATTAGCCATGCTTGCTGGCACATACCTGTATTCCCAGCTAATATGGTGGCTAAGGTGGGAGGATTGCTTGAGCCCAGCAGGTGGAGGATGCAGTGAGCCAAGATCACACCATTACACTCCAGCCTGGGTAACAGAGAGAGACTCTATCTCATTAAACAAGCAAACAACAAAAGCATATATTTACTTAAGAACATAGTACTATATATTTTTTAAGTGAATGTTTTAAATATTATCATACTGTATGTAGTCTTACACAACTTAGTGGCCATGTTTGTTGACTCAAATCCATGTTAATATCCCAATTAATGAGCACGTACATTGTTCTAATTTTCACCATTTCAACACTGCAATGAAAATCCCTGCATCATGCCTTTTTTACATGTGTGAGTTTAACCATCAGTCTCAATTCAGATGTACATAAAACATGAAATAGTTGCATTTTCTTGTAGTTACTCTCTTTACCAACATTCTGCTGAATCACCCCTTCTAGTTTCTTCATAATAACTTCTACGAATTCTAAACATTTTCATTTTAGATAAACTTTTTGTTTTAAAGCATTAATTAATTGCAACCTCCATTTACATCTCACCTCCTCTCCTCCCTCAACCCAGGCTAGAGCTGGGACGTTGACTGCTAGGAAAAGAAAATGTAGGTGGCAAGGCCTGGCTCTGAGACACATCACCCTGCATTCTCTTATTCCTTGGGGCAGAAAACGGTAATGTGGGATGTTTTAGGATGGTTCAGACACAATTCCCTCCTGTGTTTTCCTTTTGCCTCACAAGAAACCTACCTCGCCAAAAGGAACATGGGAGTGTAGCGGGCTCCACTCTCATCCTCTTTTTCTGCCCTGCTTTGTCTCTTTAAATTTGCTTTCCCTCTCTTTCTCCCCTGCCTTATTCCTGTAAATTTGTGAATTTTTCTAACTTATTCTGTCCACATGATTGAGGAACTAATCACATAACTGCAGAATAAAGTGGCTGTTTCCCTTTTTTAAAGTAGTTCACAATATGATGAGTGCATATTTAAGATCTTTTCATCATCCTGCCCCAAAATACCCTGCACGAATTTCCTCTAAAGATCTCTCTCCTCCCTTTAACTCTATTTTCTGGAGACCTGAGCAAGAACATTGGAGAATGGAGTGATGTGGTGTGACAACTTGGGGTGAACAACGTTGGCTCATCGTGTCTTACCAATATCTCTTGTATTGATGATTGCCTTTAGAATGTGGGGTATTTAACTTTTTTATTCAACATTATATTACACAGAGAAGATAAATGCTAGATTGTAAGGTGTACTCATTTTCACAGTTACGTGATAATTGTAACAATTTCTCTCTTACATGGCAATACCAATTTTTCAGTCCATCATCAGTGTATGGAAGTTTATAACTCCTCGATCCTTTTACCTAAACTTTGTATTAACAGACCTTTAACAATTCTCCTATCTTAAAAAAGTAAAATAGTATCTTGTTGTTTTGGTCTGCACAACCTTGCTTATTACTGACTTCAAGCATATTATCATACATTTCTTGGCATTAAAATTTCTTCTTTCTAATGGCCTTTTTATAAACTTTGTTGTTGCTTTTTCTTCTTTTTTTTCTATTTATACTGATCTGTAGGGAATCTTTATGTATTCTAAACATCAGTATTTTATTTGTCCTATGTATTACAAATATCTTTAGTATTTTATTAATTTATTTTATATAATTTTCAAATTTTAACTTAGTCAAATGTATCAATCTTTTTCTTCATAGTTTATGTTTTTATTTGCTACTTCAAGTCATATACATTTTCTTATAAATCTGGTATAGTTCTCTATTACCTTAGGTCTTTTTATGCCCTTCAGTAAATATTATTGCTTCCTCTGTAAAACTTCTGCACAGCCTGATAGATTTATCCCTAGGAACATTATCATTTTTGGCTTTCATGGATGATATATTTTAATTTCATTGTCTAATTTATATTTGGAAGACAGGAATGTTATTGATTTGGGAGTAGTAATCTTGCATCCAGAAACCTTCCTAACTCTTACTAATCCTAATAGTTTATAGAATGTCTTGGAGTTTAGAAGCAGAGTGTTGGCTCAACTGCAAATAATTACAACTGGTCCTTGAATTCAGCCCTAATGACTTCTCTATCTTTTCTATTTTATTGCTATGATATAATAACTTTATAGTAGTTATTTTGTTAAAAATAATGAATTTTTTTCACTATCATAGTAAAATTTATTCTACTATTATAAAGCTTAATAGTGGTAATGGCAGTCATCCTTGTCTTCTAACAGCAAGGGGAACTATCATTTCACAACTCAGTGCCATATTTTCTCTACATGTTTGAAAAATTCCTTTCATAAAGTCAGGAAGGTTCATTGTTTCTAAGGTTTCAAAGAGTTATGGTTATAATGATAATGACTATAAAGAAAAATCGGTACTAAATTTTGACTTTTCTCTGCATCTATATTAAGATAATATATATAGCTATCACCTTTAATTTATTATTCTGGTGAATTATATTAACAGCTATCTAATATTAAGTATACCTTGCATTTCTAGGATAAATTCCACTAGAATATAATGTATTCTTCATATACATTAATAGATTATGTGCATTAGCATTTTATTTACTTACAAATTTAATTTCTTATGCTATCCTACCTTAATTTATCAAATTTTATTAGATTTATAAACTAAAATATTACCTGTTAAAACAATGTAGGTGACATTTTACAATCATTTAACATTTTGGAGGCTTATATAAAAATGCAACATTATATTTATTTAATTGTAATATATTTTTAAAGGCCTTCTATTTTTCTTGAATCAATTTGATGAAATTTGTCTTTTAATCTACATTGTTAAAAAGTAAACTGGGGCACAATAAAGTGTTAAAGAGTTTATTTGAGTAAATAGTGATTCATGAGTCACAAGCCTCCAAATTGGAAGAAGTCTGAGTTCTCCATCAGTGGAACATGAGGTGAAGGCTTTTTATAGGACAAACACAGAAGAAAAACAAAGAAAATATTTGATTAGTTATAGTTGTACAAGTAGCCTTATGTGGTTTAACCTGATGTAAAAGCTCTAGTCATGTAAGTTAGCTGGCAGCTTCTAATTGGTTGCCCATAAGTCATTTAATATAGGCATTTTAAATAAATAGTTCCAGTTAAATTTTATTCATGTTTGCAAACAAGCAAGGTTAAAGTCACTTATGAGATCTAACTGGCTTTGCCTGCTCAGAGATTCCTTAGTCCTAGACTCTTTAATTGACTTTAGCCACACTTTAAATGCATTGGCATAAAGTTATTCAAAACACCCCTTCATCATTTTTTATAGAGGACTCCATTTTCATGATTAATATTTGTTGTTTTTATCATCTTGTTTTCCTGTTCAATATGTCTACAAGTTTGTCTATGTTCTTAGTCTTTTTTCTACTCTACATTGTTTCTTAGCTTGCATTTTTAATATTTTCTTCTATTTTCAATTATTTCTACTTTTTCAGATTTTATTATTTACATATCTTTTTTACTTTCCTGAATTCTCATTAACTTTTAATCTTTATTTTTGCTTATATATATTTTATTCATCACCGCTAGTGTCTACTTGAGTTGTGTACAAGTTTTTATTATTGTTATTATCGTTTAGTTCTAACATTTTTTTTCTAATTTTTATATCTTTCCCACAAATAAGCATTAGTTAAAATTTCTATCTTTTCTCCTTAAAGAAAATGTGTATAGCTTACCTTGCAATAAACTATTCTTATTTAGACCTTATTTGTAATAGAAATGTTAGAAGAAGAAACCATCTTTCTTTGTTTCAAATATCTGTAACAGAAAACCTAAATTTATTGCTTGTTCAGCAGGAAAGAGTAGCATTTGCAAAGTGAGTCTCTCCAAAGAATGCACATAGTGATCTTAGATAGGGTTAGAAGTAGGAAGAAGCTCAGGTATTAGTGGACTTTGAGAATCACATGTTCTAAACCTGGATGGCTTTCAGTTGTAGAAACTTTGTCTCTGGAGTGTTTGCTGCTGATTGGCTGCCAAGAGCATGGTATCTGTGTCTGATTGATTGAGATACATTTGAAACTATTTCTAGTAGTTATTTATTCATGGCCTGGGACTATGCCTAAGAAAGTCATTCTTTTGGAGAACAGGAAATATTTTTTCTGTGGGGCACTATCTTGGTCTGTTCATATTAGATTAAATAATCTTGATAGTCATATTCATGCTGTATTTTAAGATTTAACTGTAACAATACAAGAAGGTATTCTGGAATTTGGGAATTTGTAAAGATTGGAGAAATAGATAAGACTCATTTAAATCATATTAGGAGTAAACTAGATATAGTTTGCTAAATGGTTAGGACATAGGCATAGAAATACTGATATGTTAGAGATACATATTGGCAAATTTATACACACAGTAATATATATCTAATTAAACTTAATCATTTGTATGTTTAATTAACTTCTGAGTTTTCTAAAATATTGAAGAAACAACACGAAACAACTGAGGTGAATGAACATGTATTGACTGATTTGGCCCTAGGAAGACTAATTTCTCCCCTGGTTTGCCAGTTAATGATGTATTTTCTTCAAATTCGTCTACTTTAATATGATGGCTTTTATCAATATGGATAATTTAGTGTATCCATGGATAATTTAGCAATCCAGTGAATTTTTAATTTCTCCGAAATTGCTCAATAGTTGGAATTCAAATGCTGTCTATGTTGTGGTAATAGCTGTTTAATTTATGTATGGTACAATCAACTAGTAAGTCCTACTCCCCAATACCAAGCCCGGATTCCTGGCAAACTTAGGTAAGTTTTCTGGTTTTCCAGCTCTGCTCTGCCTATGGAGCAAGATGATAAAATAAGTTTTCAAAAAAACTGGAAGAATTGAGGATCAATGACCGTTTTAATACTTCTTCCAATTCCAGAAACTTGGAAAAGAAAAAAGATGAATTGGTTTGTGTGGAAGAGCATGATTCAGATTTATGACTCATTCATTAAAGTAGCAAAATGACGGGATTGAGACTGGGAGCAGAATTTCTCTCAAGAAATATAAGAAGGAGACTATTAATTCACTGATGACAGATTATCTCACAAAAATCACACTGCAAACATTTTACCTATTTTCATTTCCATTAGCAATGCATAAGCATATCTATTCACTGTACATTTGCAAACACTGGAAATGATATACAGCATTCTAATTTGGATATATGTATACATATACATGTATATCTTATTAATCTGAGTATCACTATGACTTGATGAAATGAGACATACAGTTCAAAAATAGAATAGAAAAACAATGTCTTAGTGAAAGAAAATGAAGTTTTTAGGAGTGAGGCAGAGTACTACTGAATATAAAGACACTATAAACTTGTAAGGAAATTAATAACCCTCCAATCATATGTACCATGTGGAGAATATGATTAAAGCTGAAAGATGAGAGAGACAAGACTAAGATCACTGAAAGCTTGTTCTTTAGAAAATCTGACAAAATGGGAAAATGTGTGATGTATTCTTAATATCAGTTAAAAATTGAAATAGTATAATTTGTGAAAATTCTAAATATCTCAAAGTTGTATTCTATTTAAGAAGAATATCTCATAATTTCTTCACTTTTTATTTTTACAATTTATTATACTAAGGAAAGTAGCTAAACAAACAAATGGAAAATTCTACTTATTATTCAATTAAAAAAACTTTTTTTGGTTAGTGAAGTGTAAGTAAAGCCTTTGGAGAAAGTATTTTATTTTTAGAATTTGATTAAGAATGGCCAGATACATTCACATATGCATTTGTGATTATAAGAAAACTCATAATAAACATCCTGAAGAAACACAAGCAGGATTCCCTAAGAAGGTTGTAGAGATCTGTTTCATCAGGAAGTATTCTCAATTTTTACACATTAATTACTAGATAACATTGAAATTTTTAAAGCAATGTTTTCAAATTCTCCTTTGTTACTATTGAAATGACTTAATAAACATAGTAAAATATTCAAACATTATAAAAGTGAGTCTTTCATGTTTTCAAACTGGAAAAAGTAAATCTCAGTGATTTTCTGGATTGTCAGATTCAACTCCAGAGTTTAACAATAGTTTCCTGTGCTTTCTTATAGGGAAAAAAAGTGTATGTGTTTATACATGTATATATATACAAATTAATATTTGACACTTTATATTTTCATGGATAAAAGCTCATCAAATACATCATTCATTAGCTATTTGTGGGCAATATACCCATGATTGTAAGTACTGACTCAGACCAATAGTTATCTTGGATAGATATCCAAAATCTGCCACTTGTTAGCTATGCAACCATCAGAAAATTATGTAATTTCTATGTGATTCAGTTTCCTTATGTGTAAAATGTAGATGATAATAATATCTCCTTCAGGGGGCAGTTGTGAAGATGAAATTCATAAATTCATATGAAGTACTTAGAACCATGCCACATGGTTAAAAAAAAACAACAAAAGTTAGCTACTGTCATAATATTATTCTACTTCCTTCACTTACTAATTTATTTTAGAGAGATACTCCTATTTTCACATACACAAATTGATAGAGTTTGTCTCTGTGTCTCCATCTAAATCTCATCTTGAATTATAATCCCATAATTCCCACATGTCATGGGATGGACCTGGTGGGCGGTAATAGAATCATGGCAGAGGGAAAAATGTTTTCCTGGGCCCAGTCCTAGGCCTACCTGCTGTTTGCAACCTTGGGACTTGGTACTCTGAGTCCCAGCCACTCTAGCATTGGCTAAAAGGGGCCAAGGTATAGCTCAGGCTTTTGCTTCAGAGGGTGTAAGCCCCAGCTCTTAGTAGCTCCCACGTGTTGTTGGGCCACCAGCTGTGCAGAAGGCAAGAATTGAGGTTTGGGAACCTCTGCCTAGATTTCAGGGGATGTATGGAAAGATCTGTATGTCCAGGCAGAGGTTTGCTGCAGGGGCAGGGCCCTCATGGAGAACCTCTGCTAGAACAGTGTAAAGGAAAATGTGAGGCTGAAGCCCCCACACAGTGTCCCAATTGGGGCACTTCCTAGTGGAGCTGTCAGAGGAAGGCCACCATCCTCCAGACCCCAGAATGGTAGATCCATCAGTAGCTTGTACTGTGCACCAGAAAAGGCCACAGACACTCAATATCAGCCTGTGAAAGCAGCCAGGTGTAGGGCTGTACCCTGCAAAGCCACAGGAGCAGAGCTGCCCAAAACCATGGGAGTCTACTTCTTGCATCAGTGTAACCTGGATGTGAGACATGGAGTCAAAGGAGGTCATTTTGGAACTTTAAGGTTTGGTGACTGCCCTGTTGGATTTTGGACTTGCATGGGGCCTGTAGCCCCTTTGTTTTGGCCAATTTCACCCATTTGGAGTGGGTGTATTTACCCAATGCCTGTACCCTCATTGTATCTAGAAAGTAACTAACTTGATTTCAATTTTACAGGCTCACAGGCAGAAGGGACTTGCCTTATCTCAGATGAGACTTTGGATTTGAACATTTGGGTTAATGTTGGAAGGAGTTAAGGTTTTGGGGGACTGTTGGAAAGGCATGATTGTGTTTTGAAATGTGATGACGAGATTTGGCAGGGGCTGGGGTGGAATGATATGGTTTGGCTCTGTGTTCCCTCCCAAATCTCATCTTGAATTATAATCCCATAATCCTCACGTGTCATCGGAGGGACCCGGTGAGAGGGAATTGAATCATGGGGGTGGTTCCCCCATGCTGTTCACGTGATAGTGAGTGAGTTCCCATGAGATCGGATTGTTTTATAATGGGTTTTTCCCCCACTTCAATTGGCACTTCTTCCTGCCATCATGTGAAGAAGGACATGTTTGCTTCCCCTTCTGCCATGAATGTAAGTTTCCTGAGGCCTCCCAAGCTATGTGGAACTGTGAGTAAATTAAACCTATTTTCTTTATAAATTACCCAGTCTTGGGTTTTTCCTTGTAGCAGCATGAGAATGGACTAATACATAGATCAATATTATTCTTTCTAATAGCTGCATAGTATTTTTTCACTCCCATGTTGATGGACAGTATAATGACCAATACTGCAGTAACATTCCAAGTTCTTCTTATATGAAGGTGCAAATATTTACTTAGGATATATTTTTAAAGGTTGAATTACTAGTTCAAAGAATAAAAAATGTGCCATGTATTGAATAATGGCCCGACAACAGATACATAGGGACAAAAATCAATACAAATTATACCATATTGTTTAAGATCTATTAGCAAAAGACTTGTAGAAAACACTTAACATAAAAAAGGACATTTATAATTATGTTTGAGGCACAGATCTCAAAAGAATAATCCTAAGGTCAGGGGTAACAAGTAAAAATAATATCAGAAAATAATACCTAATCTCTATGTTTACTTCTCTCTCTTTTTTTCTTTTTCAGGGAAGCAGTCTTCAGACAAAAGATCTAAAAACCTAAAGTTCAATACAAGTAAAAATACCATTTGTACTTTTCCAGAT